>NC_000004.12:113921381-114072896 GCF_000001405.40 Homo sapiens | reverse complement strand
CGTCTGGAAGTCATTGTTTTAGAAGTCTAGGCCCTCCAAATTTGAGTCTATATATATTTAGGATAATTAAGTCTTCTTGTTGAGTTGAACATTTTATCATTATGTAATGCCTTCTTGTTTTCTTTTCTCCTGTTGTTGGTTTAAAGTCTACTTTATCTAATATAAGAAAAGTGGCCACTCCTCCTTTCTGTTTTCCATTTGTGTGATAGATCTGTCTCTATCCCTTTGCTTTGAGCCTGGGGGTGTCATTACATGTAAAATGGGTCTCTTGAACACAAGAGAAGGATGGATCTTGTTTTTTTTTATCCAATTTGCCAATCTATGTCATTTAAGTGGAGCATTTAGGTAATTCATGTTCAAGGTTAATAGTGATATGTGAGCTTTTTTTCTTGTGGTATTTTTTACCAGTTGCTTTGTAGTTTTTATTGTGTAGTTGTTTTATAGAGTCTGTAGGCTATGTTCTTATGTGTACTTTTGTGGTAACATATATTGTTCTTTCATTTCCATGTTTAGAACTCCCTTAAAAACCTCTTACAGGGCCTCATGGTAATGAATTCCCTCAGTGATTGCTTGGCTAAGAAAGATTTTATTTTTCCTTCATTTATGAAGCTTAGTTTGGAGGAATAGAAAATTCCTGGTTGGAATTTCCTTTTTTAAGATTGCTAAAAATGGTACACTAATAAAGTTCTACTGAGAAATCTGCTGTTAATCTGATGGGTTTCTTTTTATAGGTAATATTACCTTTTTCTCTAGCTGCCTTTAAGATTTTTTCTTTCTCATTGACCTTTGATAGTCTGATGACTGTGCCTTGGGGATAGTAATTTTGTACAGTATCTCACAGGAGTTTTCTGGATTTCTTGTATCTACGTGTCAACCTCTAGCAAGATTGGGGAAAGTTTCATGAATTATATCCTCAAACATGTTTTCAATTTGCTTACTTTCCTCTTCGCTCTCAGGAATTCCAATAAGTTATAGATTTGGTCACTTTACATAATCCCATATTCCTTTAAAGCTTTGTTCATAATTTTAAATTCTTCATTCTTTGGTTTTGCCTGATTGGGTTGATTTGAAGGATCTGTCTTCAAAGTCTGAAATTCTTTCTTCTGTTTGGTTTAGTATGTTATTAAAGCTTCCAATTGTATTTTGAAATTTCTGTAGTGAAATTTTCAATTCTCTAAGTTCTGTTTGGTTCTTTCTTAATATAGCTATGTTGTCTTTCAATTTTTTGATCATTTTTCTGCCTTCTTTGTGTTGGATTTCAATTTTCTCTTAGATCTCATTGAGTTTCTTTGCCATCCACATCCTGAATTCTATACCAGTCATTTCAGACATTTCATTCCAGATAGGATGAATTACTTGAGAACTATCCTTTGGAGATGATGAAACAATCTGGCTTTTTGTGTTGCTGGAATTCTTGCACTGGTTTCTTCTCATCTGAGATAACTGATTTTTTTTTTTTTGATTTGCTATCGCTTGTAAGGAGCTTCTTGATTTTTAATTCTTTTTTCCCTTGAGGGTATTACTGTGGTGTGTGCTGTGTATAATTTATTGGCTTCATTTCTGGGTGCTTTCATGGTGTCAAGGCTCTGTACATGTTCCTTGGTTGCAGATAGGTTTGTGCTATGGTTTTCTCAGACATTGCCTGTGGTAGCAGCGTAACTTTGTATGGTGATGTAATTCAGGGTTCTTCCAGTAGATGGCATTTAGGAGTAAGAAATAGCATGTAGGGGCAGGAAAAGAGGCAATAGAGATGCATTAAAAAAAAAAAACCCTCCCTCAATCATGAGGTCAGGAGATCGAGACCATTTTGGCTAACACGGTGAAACCCCGTCTCTACTAAAAATACAAAAATTTAACCGGACGTGATGGTGGGCGCCTGTAGTCCCAGCTACTTGGGGAGGCTGAGGCAGGAGAATGGCGTGAACCTGGGAGGCGGAGCTTGGAGTGAGCCGAGATTGCCCCACTACACTCCAGCCTGGGCAACACAGCAAGATTCTGTCTCAACAAAAAAAAACAACAACAACCCTCCCCCAGTACACATTCACCTTCAGTGGGGTGGAGCTGCTGCAGAAGCCTGAGAAGAGGTCACTTTCAGCTCATGCTTCTCAGTCCTGATGGGAAGATCTGCTGCCAAGTCCACAGTGGTGCACTGAGTAGAGACGACCACCTCTCCGCATCCATTCCTAAGCTTTGATTATACCACCTTCAGCAGCTGGTGCCACAGATAATATTTTTATAAAATTCACAGAGAGACATCAGGCTTCCTGCTTTGGCCCTCATGGGTCTCTATATAGAAGAACTCTACCAGCAGGTATATTCAACCAAGTGGTCATTATTTGTATGATCTAGGACCACGTCAATCCAAGAGCAAACTCCAGATGGCTGAGCCAGAACTGAATTTGAATACACTATGCCCCCACTTTTGGCCAAGTTGTACCTGAAAGGTACATGACCAGGCCAATCTGGGGTTGCAGTTAGGGGAAAGAAAGATGCATCATACCCTGGAAAGGACAGGTTGAAATTCCAAATTTTCAAAATTCATTTATAGCACCCTCCTTTCCTTCTTCTTTATTATTACCCAGTATGTTTGTTTCCTAAGACTGCTATAACAAATGGTCATACACTTGGTGGCTTAAATCAGCAGAAATTTATTCTTTCCTTGATCTGATGGCCAGAAGTACAAAATAGACAGGGACATGCTCTCTCTGAAGTGTTAAGGAAGAATCTTTCCTTGACTCTTCCAGTTTCTGGTGGCTCCTGGAATTCCCTGACTTATGGCAACATAACTCCAATTTCTGCCTTCATCTTCACATGGGCTTCTGTGTGTCTCTCTATGTCCAAATCTCCCTGTGTTTTCTTTTATATATATATTTTTATTATACTTTAAGTTCTAGGGTACGTATTCACAACGTGCAGGCTTGTTGCATATGTATACATGTGCCATGTTGGTGTGCTGCACCAATTAATTCGTCATTTACATCAGGTATATCTCCTAACGCTATCCCTCCCACCACCCCCCACCCCACAACAGGCCCTGGTGGGTGATGTTCCCCTTCCTGTGTCCAAGTGTTCTCATTGTTCAATTCCCACCTATGAGTGAGAACATGTGGTGGTTGGTTTTTTGTCCTTGCGACAGTTTGCTGAGAATGATGGTTTCCAGCTTCATCCATGTCCCCACAAAGGACAGGAACACATCCTTTGTTATGGCTGCATAGTATTCCATGGTGTATATGTGCCACATTTTCTTAATCCAGTCTATCATTGTTGGACATTTGGCTTGGTTCCAAGTCTTTCCTATTGTGAATAGTGCCACAATAAACATATGTGTGCATGTATCTTTATAGCAGCATGATTTATATTCCTTTAGGTATATACCCAGTAATGGGATGGCTGGGTCAAATGGTATTTCTATTTCTAGATCCCTGAGGAATCGCCATACTGACTTCCACAATGGTTGAACTAGTTTACAGTCCCACCAACAGTGTAAAAGTGTTCCTATTTCTCCACATCCTCTCCAGCACCTGTTGTTTCCTGACTTTTTAAGGATTGCCATTCTAACTGGTGTGAGATGGTATCTCATTGTGGTTTTGATTTGCATTTCTCTGATGGCCAGTGATGATGAGCATTTTTTCATGTGTCTGTTGGCTACATAAATGTCTTCTTTTGAGAAGTGTCTGTTCATATCCTTCTCCCACTTTTTGATGGGGTTTTTTGTTTTTTTTTTTTGTGAATTTGTTTGAGTTCTTTGTAGATTCTGGATATTAGCCCTTTGTCAGAGGAGTAGATTGCAAAAATTTTCTCCCATTCTGTAGGTTGCCTGTTCACTCTGATGGTAGTTTCTTTTGCTGTGCAGAAGCTCTTTAGTTTAATTAGATCCCATTTGTCAATTTTGGCTTTTGTTGCCATTGCTTTTGGTGTTTTAGACATGAAGTCCTTCCTCATACCTATGTCCTGAATGGTATTGCCTAGGTTTTCTTCTAGGGTTTTTAATGGTTTTAGGTCTAACGTTTAAGTCTTTAATCCATCTTGAATTAATTTTGGTATAAGGTGTAAGGAAGGGATCCAGTTTCAGCTTTCTACATATGGCCAGCCAGTTTTCCCAGCACCATTTGTTAAATAGGGAATCCTTTCCCCATTTCTTGTTTTTGTCTGGTTTGTCAAAGATCAGATAGTTGTAGATGTGTGGTATTATTTCTGAGGGCTCTGTTCTGTTTCATTGGTCTATATCTCTGTTTTGATACCAGTACCATGCTGTTTTGGTTGCTGTAGGCTTGTAGTATAGTTTGAAGTCAGGTAGCATGATGCCTCCAGCTTTGTTCTTTTGGCTTAGGATTGACTTGGCAATGCAGGCTCTTTTTTGGTTCCATATGAACTTTAAAGTAGTTTTTTTCAATTAAGTGAAGAAAGTCATTGGTAGCTTGATGGGGATGGCATTGAATCTATAAATTACCTTGGGCAGTATGGCCATTTTCACAATATTGATTCTTCCTATCCATGAGCATGGAATGTTCTTCCATTTCTTTGTATCCTCTTTTATTTTGTTGAGCAGTGGTTTGTAGTTCTCCTTGAAGAGGTCCTTCACATCCCTTCTAAGTTGGATTCCTAGGTATTTTATTCTCTTTGAAGCAATTGTGAATGGGAGTTCACTCATGATTTGGTTCTCTGCTTGTCTGTTATTGATGTATAAGAATGCTTGTGATTTTTGCGCATTGATATTGTATCCTGAGACTTTGCTGAAGTTGCTTATCAGGTTAAAGAGATTTTGGGCTGAGACAATGGGGTTTTCTAGATATGCAATCAAGTCATCTGCAAACAGGGACAATTTGACTTCCTCTTTTCCTAATTGAATACCCTTTATTTCTTTCTCCTGCCTGATTGCCCTGGCCAGAACTTCCAACACTATGATGAATAGGAATGGTGAGAGAGGGCATCCCTATCTTGTGCCAGTTTTCAAAAGGAATGCTTCCAGTTTTTGCCCATTCAGTATGATATTGGCTGTGGGTTTGTCGTAGATAGCTCTTATTATTTTGAGATATGTCCCATCAATACCTAATTTATTGAGAGTTTTTAGCGTGAAGCGTTGTTGAATTTTGTCAAAGGCCTTTTCTGCATCTATTGAGATAATCATGTGGTTTTTGTCTTTGGTTCTGTTTATATGCTGGATTGCATTTATTGATTTGCGTATGTTGGACCAGCCTTGCAGCCCAGGGATGAAGCCCACTTGATCATGGTGGATAAGCTTTTTGATGTGCTGCTGGATTTGGTTTGCCAGTATTTTATTGAGGATTTTTGCATCGGTGTTCATCAGGGATATTGGTCTAAAATTCTTTGAATTTAGGGCCAACCTCAAATCCAGGATGAATTCATCCCAAGATCCATAACTAAGTACATCAGCATAGATGGTTTTTCTTAGTAAGGGTACATTCTGAGGTCCCAGATATACATGAATTTTAGGGGAGCACAATTCAACCTACTATACACCCAAGTAATGATTAAGGGAAAATAACTACTTTCAGGTGACAGCCACATTGAGTGACCAATCTTACAAGATGTGTGAACCAGAAGAGGTGACAGAGGGTAAAATCAGAAATTATTTCAGTAGATTTTTGAGGAGGCCAGTTAAACACTCAACAGTATTAGTTTGGTTTAACAGTTAGTGAGGCACAGGCATTTAGGGGAATCTTTGTGAACTGAGAGCCCTGTTGAGCTGGTTACTTTATTTTAGAAGTCTGAATAAGCGATAAAGCTTCTCTCAAAAGGATAATTGTCACTTTTAAATGTAAAGCTGAGACGATGCTGGAGCCAAGCCAGCTGTGTTCTTGGCTATTTTATTTTCATTGCATTTTACAAGAGAGATAGACTGGGCTCTTCCTACAGTCAGAGTCCAAGTTGACCCATCCCAAAGTGAAGACTATTAGATTAAAGTCACAAGGCCTTCACTGGCCAGGCATTCAATTTCAGTAAGATTCCATGGCAAGCTAATAGCTGCTTGTCAAAAGGAGATTTCCCAAGAGCCTATGACATGGAGGAGAGAAATACAAAACCCCAAGGGGTATACCTTAACACCAAAGGATGAAGGCTGCCTCCCAAGGCCAGATGCTACAGTCCTTAAAATAATTAGTCAGAGAAACTTGTAGCTCAAAGGTGTCACTAAGTTGTGGAGCCCCAAAGGTTTTTAATCTTGACTGAGGGACTCTCTGTGGCATTTATGGAACAAGAATGAATATACAAGCATATAGGTACTACATATTCAGATTGAAATCTACAGCAATAGAACATTGAGTTAGCCTCAAATGACAAGTCATACAATGTCACATTAGCTTCCAATCACTACTGTAGAACTTTCTCAGGCCCCATCAGTTAAATTTGGATTCCTCTCCCCATGTGGGACAGGCTAAGATAAAGATTTGAATGTCTTTCTCCAAAGAACCCCTAAAAGTTTGAGTCCTTCTCATTTCTGAAGTTCCCCAGCATGCTAAGACAAGTGCACATTGTCTAAAAAACTATTTAGAGATGAGAAGATATTGGTGCCTCTGCTAATCAACTTTCTACTTAACGCAGCTGAGGTTAGGTAAAAGGAGAAAGTTAGAGATCAGGAAATGTGGAGGGAGAAAGAGGCTCCACACAAGTGAGTAAGACATATTTGTATTCAGTTTCAAGCAGTACAGAGGCTGCTCACAGATGAACCAAACAAACTTCTAATATAGAGGCTGCTCACAGATAAACCAAACAAACTTCTAATGTTTTCATTACACCAAAAGCCGTATAAGAGGCAGCAAGGTTGTCATTACTGATTCCATTTATTCAGCTTGGAGAATGCTTTCCCTAAGTAGACATAGCTCACATGGTCTTCTGTCTAGATCTGCAGGTTTATGCCCATCAGCTGACTAGGGATTGACTCGAATAGCAGTAACTTTTAAAAGCGATGCTGGCGAGGTTATGGAAAAAAAAGATCACTTATACACTGTTGGTGGGAGTGTAAATTAGTACAACCATTGTGGAAGACAGTGTGGCAATTCCTCAAAGACCAAAACCGAAATAGCATTTGACCCAGCAATCCCATTACTGGGTATATACCCAAAGGAATATAAATTGTTCTATTATAAAGACACATGTACATATATGTTCATTGCAGCACTATTCACAATAGCAAAGATATGGAATCATCCTAAATGCTCATCAGTAATAGACTGGATAAAGAAAATGTGATACATATACACCATGGAATACTATGCAGCCATAAAAAAGAATGAGATCATGTCCTTTGCAGGGACATGGATGGAGCTGGAAGCCATTATCTTTAGCAAACTAACACAGGCAGAAAACTAAATACTGCATGCTCTCACTTATACGTGGGAGCTAAATGATGAGATCACATGGACACCTAGAGGGGAACAACACACACTGGGGTCTTTTGGAGGGTGGAGGGTGGGAGGAAGGGGAGGGTCAGGAAAAATAACTACTGGGTACTAGGCTTAATACCTGTGTGATGAAATAATCTGTACAACAAACCCCATGACACAAGTTTATCTATGCAACAAAACTAGATGTGTACCCTTGAGCTTGAAAGTTTAAAAAGGGGCTAATAAGCACATCGAAAAACTATAAATAAATAAATATAAAAATAAAAGTGTGCATCTTAATCCAAGTCTTTTGCTGCTATGTTGTCATGATAACATCTCTCAATTTTTCACCAATTTTAACATAAGGGATAGGAGCAGTTTGTAGGACAGCAGGTCTGACCACAAGAATTTATCCAGGTCCTTTTGTGTCAGTGTCTTATTTTATAGTATTTCACTTTCATCAGCATTATGAGCCTAATCCAGGGCAGTAAGATCCCAAACACTAGTTAATACCTTATTTAATGATTTCCCAGGGGAGTTTGTCTATCTAAGGGAAATCTTGCACTTTTGCCGTCATCTCTGAATGACTCTAAATTTGGCATGATAGACTGCATTGTGGCACAGTACGACTCTTGCCATTCTTCCTTGGCAGAAAGCAATGTCTCTATCAATGTCCCTTCATTACAAACTGTCAAAAACGACGAAGGGCATGAGATTTTATCCTTCATGCAAGCTAACAAGTTAGGTTGCCACAGTTTGAGAAAAAAAGAACTTGGCACAGCAAGTAGCCAACATATCAACATAGTTTTGCAAGTTCTTTGAACCCCATTTCCACAGGGTGATTAGAGTAGAGCCAGGTGACTGCTGCATATGCAGTGGTATGCACTGTAGGAGAGAATCCTTCATTTCAGGAACCTAAATCTTTTATAGTGAGCAATAAACACACCTGCTCTTTGATACTGAGGGAGACACTACCTCTATCTTCCAAGACTTGCAGAAAATGTGAGTGACTCACAGAGAATTATCTTCTAATACCAACACCCCACCTATACTTTATTTATTCCCAAAGGTGAAATTTTTTTTCATGACTTTTTAAGCAGATGTATATGTAAGTCTTTTTGGGAAATAGCACCTATATTGGGCAAAATGATAGATTATCTTCCAATGTGTCTACACGTTACATGAGGGTATTGAGAAGTGTAATAGGGAAAATTGGAAACGGATTTTTTAATTAGATAATCTGAAACAACAACAAATGAATGGGGTTCAAGCACAGGGAAGGTGAGGAATGTGGGTGCTGAATTAGCAAGCAAGCCATAGATACTATAGCTTTGTGCAGAGGTAAAGACCTGGGCCCAAATGTGGCAAAAATTACTGAATATAAGCCAAAACATATAGGGTGGAGAAAATACTCTAGCCAAGATATAAGGAAATAACATGTAGTTATCCTTAGTCACTTGAAAAAAAGATCAATTGTTTCTCTTTTTTAATAAAAAATGAAGCTTGCTATCTATAGCTCAATGACAACCTCTGAATTTGGTTGTAATCAGATCATTTATGAAACACTTCAGCAGCTCATTCTCACCTCCGATAATAACATGAATTTCAAATAATAATATGAAACTCTATTGAGTTTCATATTATTGTACAAAGAACCTACATACATTCAGCATACATATTGTACAAAGAACCTACATAAAAGTATGAGTGTGTGTGTTTCTTTTTGTTTGTTTTGCTTTTGTGAGACAAAGTCTTGCTCTGTCACCAGGCTGGAGTACAGTGGCTAGATCTCGGCTCACTGCAACCTGCACCTCCCAGGTTCAAGTGATTCTCCTGCTTCAGCCTCCCGAGTAGCTGGGATTACAGGTGTGTGCCACCACGCCCGGCTAATTTTTGTATTTTTAGTAGAGACAGGGTTTCGCCATGTTGACCAGGCTGGTGTTGAACTCCTGACCTCAGGTGATCTGCCCGTGTTGGCCTCCCAAAGTGCTGGGATTAAAGGCATTAGCCACCGCACCTGGCCCTTTCAAGTTTTCTTTAAAACACACACACTTGGCCAGGCGCGGTGGCTCATGCCTGTAATCCCAGCACTTTGGGAGGCCAAGATGAGCAAATCACGAGGTCAAGAGATCAAGACCATCCTGGCCAACATGGTGAAACCCTGTCTCCACTAAAAATACAAAAATTAGCAGGGTGTGGTGGTGCATGCCTGTAGTCCCAGCTACTCGGAAGGCTGAGGCAGGAGAATCACTTGAACCCAGGAGGCGGAGGTTGCAGTGAGCCGAGATCATGCCACTGCACTCCAGCCTGGTCACAGAGCAAGACTTTGTCTCACAAAAGCAAAACAAACAAAAAGAAACACACACACTCACACTTTTATGTAGGTTCTTTGTACAATTTATGATATTGGGAAAATTAATAAAATTAGTTAATATTTTATTTATATAAAATGCAAATTAAAATAATATACATATATTAATGAATATTAATGACACATTAGAAGAGGACCTATCATTTTTTGCCTTTGATCCTTCCTTCTGCCTTATAAAACAGAGTGAATACTGTTTTCCTGACATAATGAAACAAATCAAAGATGCCAAAACTCTGATTTTTCTCACTGCTAATCTAATATTCCAATCACTAAATTATGATCCTGGAAAATCAGTTTTATAATCTCACCAGTGTCTGGCAGTGAATTATTATATACTAATGTGTACATTAAATCATTACATCATTGATCATATACTTATGCATAATGTTTGCATTAGTTCTATGACAGCTGTGTCAAATGTACAAGGACTGTTTAAAAATCTGTTTTACATTAGTGCTTTATGAACCATGAAAATAACAACACAAATATATTTTAAGGGTTGAATAATTCACAGCAATTTCACCAGACCACACATGAAACATTTTTCCATAGTTAAACATATACTTTGATATTACATGAACTTGCAAACATCTTTGTCATAAATTACGAAGTATAGTTTCCTCAAGAATTTAAAAATGAGTGTTTTCTACATATTTTTGAGATTTTATAAAACCTACAAATTCTAAGTCTGAAAATTCCATGCTTAAAATATTTACTTTTAATTGTTGTTTCACTACCCAAATTTTTGATGACTATTTCATGGCAACTCTGTTCGTTTGGGTAAAAATCCAAAGAAAAAAATTTAATTGTTCAAGTAAGCTGAATTTGCCTTTTATGTTTTTTAAATTAAAATCCTTATTGCCTTAGAATGTTCTCTCCTAAAGTCATTAATGAAGCTGATGTCACCTTAATTTCTTTAAAGCATTCTTTTGCACTGGGTACATATGGACATAAAGATGGGGACAATAGACACTGGAACTACTAGTCAGGGAGAGGAGGAGAGATAGGGCTGAAAAACTACCTTATTGGGTATTATGTTCACTACCTGGGTGGCAGGATCATTCATTCCCCAATCCTCAGTATCATGCAATACACACATGTAAACAAATCTGCATACGTACCCCCTGAATCTAAAATAAAAGTTGAATTTAAAAAAAAAAGAAGCTGTGGGTTTTTTAAAGGCCTAGAAGTCATTTTAAATTAACCATGAGAATGAGAAGCCTTATTAGAAGAGAAAATTCTAGAAGAGCACATGTGAGGCTTCAATCAACTTTTAGTTTAGAAATGTTTAAAAAACACAAACTTTAAATAATTCATAGATTAAAAATGAATAAATGTGATTGCTTAAGAGGAAAAAAAAGAATCTGGAAACAAGTTAACTATAGTTAAAAAGGTTGAACTAGATCTATAAATACCAATATAAATATATCTCTAAAACATAATAGGAAGAAAAGGAAAAATATAGAGGATATACAGAAAAATTTCACAATAATAATAATAATAAAGCATGTTTTGGGCATATCTCTGCCTTGTTTTTAAACTTTGAATGGTCTATTTGGACACACATCATGTAAGCCAGGAAATGAGAGTTTTCAATGGCCAGAAACTAGCCATATTTCTCACAAAGGGAAAAAGCCCCCTAATCCTGCTTCACACGCTTTGCACATGCCATTTTTTTCTCCTGAAGTAGACTCCTATTACCTTCTTATTTGAACCAAGGCTTTTGTCACCTCCCTTAAAACTGCTCTTTGAAAGGATGGAAATGGCCTCTATGTTTCTAGTCCCAACAGTTATTTCACAGTCCTTACCTTATTGAAGTTATCAGAAACACTGACACAATTGATCACTCCTTTCTCCTTGAAACATCTTTTCTGTCTTCTGAGATAGTTCACTCTCCTGGTCTTCTCCTATTACATAACTTGTTCTAAGTTTCCTTTGCTGGCTTCTCCTCACCTCCCCAGTCTCTACATGTTGAGGTGTCTCAGGACTCAGTGCTGAACCTCTTCTCTATTTACTCTTACTCTTCAGTGATATCACCCAGCTTCATGGCTTTACACACCACATATCTACTGAGAACTTATATGTACATATCCCAAGCCTGGATTTATCGCCTCAATGCTGGAATCTTACATGCAACTGCCTACTTGACCCTATACTTTATCTATCACCTTGTACTTGGATGTTAAATAGATTTCCAAACTTAACATGTCCTAAATTGAAAGCTTGATATTTGCTTTAAAAACTATTCCTGGCCAGGAGCAGTGGCTCATGCCTATAATCCCAGCACTTTGGCAGGCCAAGGTGGGCGGATGACGAGGTCAGGAGTTTGGGACCAGCCTGACCAACATAGTGAAATCCTGTCTCTACTAAAAATACTAAAAATTAGCTGGTCGTGGTGGCAGACACCTGTAATCCCAGCTACTTGGGAGGCTGAAGCAGGAGAATCGCTTGAACCAGGGAGGCGGAGGTTGCAGTGAGCTGAGATTGTGCCACTGCCCCACTCCAGCCCGGGTGACAGTGTGAGACTCTCATCTCCAAAAACAAACAGACAAACAAACAAACAAAAAAAACTATTCCTCCAAAGTTTTCCTCAAATTAGTAAATGAAAATTCCACTGCTCCAATTTCTCAGGCCTTAATCCTTAAGGTCATCCTTGACTCCTCTCTTTCACATCCTACTTTTATTTCACTGGCCAATTTTATTCATATTCTCCATTATTAATACTCACTTTCAAGACACCTTTCTCTCTCTTTCTCTCTCTCTCATAGGGAATATTAAATATTCTTCTAACTGGTTTTCCTGGTCACTTTTCTCTTCCAATGGCTTCTTGTCTCATTCATAGTAAAAGAATTCTCCAGATTTTCTACTGGGCCTTTCATGATTTGGTCCCCGACCTCTGTGATCACATGCACTACAATCCCAGTCATTCATCCTGAGCTTTCCCTGCAGCAATTAAGATGGATCTTAAATGGAAGAGTGAAATTTCAATGATCAGGTAGGGAAAGCAGGGGCTGCCATTTTAAATAGGTATTCTCACCAATAGGAGAACATTTGAACAGAGACCCAGGGGAGGTGAAAGAGTGACCATGTGGCTCTCTGAGACAAAGATGTTTTCACTAAGGGAACAGCGAGTGCATAAACTCTAGGGCAGCAATGTGCTTGGCAGGTTGAAGAAATGAGAGGAGTCTTAAGTCCAAAAGGCCAGCCTAACAGCCCAGGTGAAAATTACAGAAGATACTACCTGTTTTGGTGTAAATAGGAATTGAAAAGAAGAGACAAGAAGAAATGATGTAAAAACAAAGTATTGCATTAACAAATGTTTATCAAGTAACTCCTCTAGGCAAAGCAGTTTCTTAGACATAAGAGATCCAGTTAGACCAAAATGGTGCCTGCTTTCACAAAATGTATGGCCTTATATAGAAGACAGATACTGAGTGACTGGCAATTGCTTTTATGTTGTAAGGCAATAAAGAGAGGGGATTTCAAAATGCGATTTGAACTTTGGTGGTAGTTCATGAACATAGTTGTATATGAACTGAAATTTACATAGGGCTTCTATGAAAATTCTTAGAAAGTTCTTTATGGATGAGAAGCTCTTCAACAGTGATCCCACTGAGAGGGGTTTCTAATTAGACATGTAAAACAGGCAATACACTCAGTTGAAAAGAGGCAGAAGAACACACTGGCAACAAAGACAACTAGCCCTGGGTTTAAAATTCTATCTCTGTTACCTAATCTCTCTAATCTTCAGTTTCCTCATCTGAAAGATAAGGATAATCATTGTACCATCATTACAAGGCTGTTGTGAAGCTTTAGGTAAATCACCTCACATGATAATTGCAATAAACATTCTATATTTGTATAATAGCTAATACGGGTAGAGAGACTTGAACAACTTAAAGACTTTCTGAGACAATACCTACTACTGACGAGGAAGCTCTCATAATATACATCTTATTAAAAATTTCTGTAATAACCTAGTGAATCAGTGCTTGCATAAGGCTTTATTTTTGATGGAATGAAATAAAAACCAAATAATTTTTGATCTTTCATTTTATTTATTTGCAAAATCCAATATTCTTCCACCTCACATAAAAATGGAGATAAAAGCATTTATTATATAACTTAGAATTTCCTTAGGTCATTTAAGTGAAAGAAAGTTCAGTGCTGAGAAATATTTGTGACAGCTAGCATTACCCATTCACTGTGATATTCAATATCCTCTACACTAAAAAATGCCAATAGCATTAATGCATGCTCAGTTTTATAGAAAGATGTCTGGCAATAATCTATGGGATCTACTTTTTATATTATGAAATTCCATTATGAGTAAGAAAAGGGCACGATTATCTATTAAAAAATATTTACCAAGATAAAAATCAATGCAATGAGTGCTGAGAGCTGTGCTATGCAGAAAGATAATGACCATCTTCTGAGAGCAAAAAATTGAAATCAGACAGTTCAGTGGCTTAAAAATACAAGGAGCAGTGAGAATATGGACCCTGGACAGATAGTAATCACAGATCAACTTGAGTTAAATGCAGGTATTTTGATTAAAGAGTCTAAAGATTCTGAGTTTTGGGTCAAGATAACAGATTTAATCCCTCTTGAAAATATATTATATGGCAGAAAAATAATTTTCAAATTAGAAACAATCAGTAATAGTAAAGATAATTGAAGATGAGTAGGGGAATAAATAGATAAGCTGTATTAAATAAATTTTAAAATTCAGAAAGCAGATATAAGCATGGGAAGGACACCACAGCCCAGGGGAATATGCTCAGAGCTCCTGATGCAATTGTGGATTTGCCCAATTCCTGAATTTCTTATAGTATATAAAGCTTAAAATTATGATAAAGGCATAAAGATAAATCTTTTATATTTTCTTGTAATATGCTGTATTTTCCAATATAGAAAATTTCTTCTTTCTGTTCAAAATGTGTCCTTCACATGAAAATATCTTTATTTTGAAATCATATTTGAATTTTTTGGCAAAATAAAAAACTTCACATTTAAAATAATTCTTATTTCAAACTTTGAGCCCACTTTATATTAATCTGGCTTCCATTTCTTTGTAAGTTACCTATACTTCTTTCACTACTTTTTGTATTATCTCTTCATTTGGAATTCTGAAACTTCACCAAGCTCTCTTTGGTTGTGGGCCTTGTTATTAACCCTACCTGACACCAGATGAACCTTTGGAACCTTTCCCAGATGAACACTGGAACTTCTGGATCGAGTCGTCACATTTCTGAATACTTTTCCCAGACTTTGCACTTTTTTATCATGTGGCACAGACTAGTAACTTGCCCAGGCTTGCTTTTCTGAGTTACTAATTCAGTCTTTCCCTGTGCTTATTCTCCTAGTACTAAATCTATCTAATGATGATTTATTTTTAATTGAAGCAATCACATTTTAAATTTTAGTATTCTTTCCTCAAAGCAAGTTTTGGTTTCTTTTCTTGTTTTATGAATGTGATATTCTGTTATGCTTCTCTACTGATGTTAATTTGACTTATTTTAATATATTCTGTTTCCTTTAGTAACTCTGTTCATTGAAATATGTTCTCTGTCAGCATCAACAATTCTTAGTTTTCTGTTTGTTTTTGTAAAACAATTAAATAAGTAAGGTCTACACTTGAATGCTTTTTGTGGCTAAGACATATTTCTTAAATTCATAACCCCAGTTGTATGAGACTGGAAATGAATACAGATCTAATTATAGAAGTCCTCCAGTGATTGCACTTGAGAAGTCCAAGTGGACATGTTGTTTCTGAGGGTGGCCTCTTGGTAAACCAAAAGTAGTTATTTAGAGCAGTAATCCTCAAACTTAAAAGTTTCATGGTAGATCCCAAGGTCAAGAGATAGAGACCATCCTGGCCAACATAGTGAAATCCAGTCTCTACTAAAAATACAAAAAGATTACCTGGGCATGGTGGCTCATACCTGTAATCTCAGCACTTAGGGAGGCTAAGGCGGGTGGATCACAAGGTCAGGAGATCAAGACTATCCTGGCTAACATGGCGAAACCCTGTCTCTACTAAAAATACAAAAAAATTAGCTGGGTGTAGTGGCACACACCTGTAGTCCCAGCTACTTGGGAGGCTGAGGCAGGAGAATCACTTGAACCCGGGAGGTGGAGGTTGCAGTAAGCCAAGACTGCACCACTGCACTCCAGCCTGGTGACAGAGCAAGACTCCGTTTAAAACAAAAAAAGTTTCAATGCTCAGGCCATCCTCAAATTATTAAATCAGAATTTTGAGAGGTGGGATGTGGAGTTTATTTTTTTCAAATTCCACGGTTTATTCCAGTGTGTGGCCAAATATGAGAGCCACTCCATTAGAGCACTTCTATTTTTCTAGTGCCACACGTGCTGCAGAAACCCTCCTGCCAGAGTCTCCTTTCGATATGCTATTCTTAGCTTTGTGCCAATGCAGGCATCAGACATCCTTAGAAGAGTAAACTGACTTGCCTCTTTCATCCTATTTAGTTACTTTTTTCCAGTTTTATGGTCTCTAACCTTGGGATTGTCCCAAAAGTCGGCTGGAAAATCTCCCTTGTTTTGCTGCTGCCTGTAATTAGAGACTTCGACACTCCACTCTCAGCATTGGACAGATCATCTAATCAGAAAACCAACAAAGAAACATTGGATTGAAACTTCACTTTAGACCATATGGACCTAACAGACATCTCTACAGAACATTTTATCCAACAGCTGCAGAATACATGTTCTTATCAGCACATGGAACATTCTCCAGAATAAACCATATGTTAGGGCACAAAACAAGTCTCAACAAATGTTTAAAAATCAAAGTCATACCAAGTATCTTCTCAGACCACAATGGAATAAAACTAGAAATCAATAAAAAGATGAACTTTAGAAACTGTATCAATGCATGGAAATTAAACAACATGCTCCTGAACAACCACTGGATCAAGGAAGAAGTTCAAAAGCCAATCAAAAAAATTCTTGAGACAAATGAAAATGGAAACACAAAATACCAAAACCTATGGGATACAGAAACAGCAGTGTGAAGAAAGAGGATTATAGCAATAAATGCCTACATCAAGGAAGTACACAGATTTTAAATAAACAATCTAATGATGCATCTAATGGAAATAGAAAAGCAAGAACAAGCTAAGCCCAAAATTAAGTAGAAGAGAAATAATAAAAATCAGAACAGAACTAAATGAAATAGAGACTAAAAAATACAAAGCATCAACAAATATAAAGTTTTTTGAAAAGATAAATAAAATTAATAAACAGCTAGCTAGATAAACCAAGAAAAAAAGAGAGAAGATCCAAATAAACAAAATCAAAACAAAAAAGAGACATAACGACAGATACCACAGAAATGTATAAGGCCACCAGAGACTATTATGAACAACTATATACTAACAAACTGGAAAACCTAGAGGAAATGGATAAATTCCTGGACACATACAACCTACCAAGACTCAGTCAGGAAAAAATATAAACCCAAACAGACCAATAATGAGTAATAAGATTGATGAATAAGTAACAAAAAGTCTCCCAACAAAGGAAAGCCAATGACCGAATGGCTTCACTGCCAAATTCTATCAAACTTACAAAGAACTAATAACAATTCACTTCAAACTATTCCAAAAATGTGAAAATGAGAGAACTCTAATTCATTCTATGAAGGCAGCACTATACTGACACCAAAACTAGGTAAGTACATGACAAAAAAACAAAAACAAAAACAAAAACAAAACTACAGCCCAGTATCCCTGATGAACATAGATAAAAGTGTTCTCAGCCTTGTTGGGTCTTAACATCAATTGGTTACCATCAACTTTTGTTATACAGAAATTCTGCACTATTGTGATCGATTAGTAATACCACCTTCAAGTCGCCAATGCTGCTATGAATTCATGTTATCTTCTTTCATTTTATTGTGACAGGAAGAAATCCTATTCCACCAAGATCTAGAAATAATCAAGTTTGTGTTCATTCTTCTTCAATTTAACAAGTAGATATTGAGTCCCTGGTCTATGTCCTAAGTTCAAGAAGAGATCAAAAGTACAGATCCAGCCTCATGTATGTTTTTACATTCTAATGTATTTTTTATAGTAGTAAGTCCCCACACCCAGCAAATCAGAAGCAATCTAAATATTCAATAATATATTATTGGTTCAATGAGTTAAGGTAACATACATATATTGAAATACTATTCAGCTTTTAAGTACACTTGAAAATTATGGCATAAGAAAAATTCTTACAATATAAGGTTAACTAGAAAAAGCAGGATGCAGAAGGACACATAAAACATAATCTCAGCCAAGAAAAAATAATGGTTTTTGCCCCTGGATTGAGGCACCATGGACAATTACTGCAATCTTGTGTATATTTTTCTCTTTTTTTAAACTTAAGTTCAGAGGTACAAGTGCAGATTTGTTACATAGGTAAACTTGTGTTGTGGGGGGTTGTTATACAGATTATTTCATCACACAGGTATTAAGCCTAGTATCCATTAGTTATTTTCCCTGATCCTCTCCCTCCTCCCATCCTCCACCTTCCAAAAGGCCCCAGTGTATGTTATTCCCCTCTATGTGTCCATGTGATCTCATCATTCAGCTTCCACTTATAAGGGAAAATATGCAGTATTTGGTTTTCTGTTCCTGTGTTAGTTTGCTAAGGATGATGGCCTCCATCTCCATCCATGTCCCCACAAAAGACATGACCTCATTCTTTTTTATGGCTGCATAGTATTCCATAGTGTATATGTAACACATTTTCTTTATCCAATCTATCATTGATGGACACTTAGGTTGATTCCATGTCTTTCCTATTGTGAATAGTGCTTCAATGAACATATGTGTGAATATGTCTTTATAATAGAATGCTTTGTATACCTTTAGGTATATATTCAGTAATAGAATTTGCTGGGTCAAACAGTATTTCGTTTTTCTGGTCTTTGAGAAATTGCTACCCTGTCTTTCAAAATAGTTGAACTAATTTATATTCCCACTAATGTATAAGTGTTCCTTTTTCTCCACAAGATGGCCAGCATCTGTTATTTTTTGACTTTTTAGTAACATCCTTTATAACTGCTGTGAGATGGTATCTCATTGTGGTTTTGATTTTTATTTCTCTAATGAACAGTGATATTGAGCTTTGTTTTTTATATAATTGTTGGCCTCAATCATGTCTTTTGAAAAGTGTCTATTTATGTTTTTTGCCCATCTTTTTACAGGGCTATTTGTATTTTTCTTGTAAATTTGTTCCTTTGAGATTCTGGATATTAGACCTTTGTCACATGCATAGTTTGCAAATATTTTCTCCCATTTTGTAGGCTGTCTGTTTCTTTTGCTGTGCAAAAGCTGTGTAGTTTACTTAGATCCCCTTCATCAATTTTTGCTTTTGTTGCAATTGCTTTTGGTGTCATCATTAGGGAATCTTTGCCCATACCTATGTCCTGAATGGTATTGCCAGAGTTGTCTTCCAGAGTTTTTACACTTTGGGGTTTTACATTTAAGTCTTTAATACATATTGAGTTAGTTTTTGTATGTGATGTAGGGAAGGGGTCCAGTTTCAATCTTCTGCATATGGCTAGCCAATTATCCCAGCACCATTTATTGAACAGCGAATACTTTCCCCATTGCTTGCTTTTGTCACCTTTGTCAAAGATCAGATAGTTGTAGGTGTTTAGTCTTATTTCTAGGTTCTCTATTCTGTTCTATTGGTCCACGTGTCTGTGTTTGTACCAATATCATGCTGTTTTGGTTACTGTAGCCCTGTAGCATAGTTTGAAGTTAGGTTGTGTGATTCCTCCAGCTTTGTTCTTTTTGCTTAGGATTGCCTTGGCTATTCAGGCTCTTTTTTGGTTCCATATGAATTTTAAAATAGTTTTCTTTAGTTCTATGAAGAATGCCAATGTTTTTCAATATCTTCTAATACAAACATATCTTTTTAATACAGTGTTTATAATTTACTTTCTTTGAATAAATTAAAGTACCAGAAATATGTTTTTATGTCATATCTATTTTAACATTAGAAGTGCAAATAGCAACAGACAGGACCTAACTATCCCACTTTAAATTATCAGTGGGCACAGACCTAGAAAATAAAACTTGCAACCCAGAAATCAAGTGAACCTTTAAATTTCCCTTAAATATTTTACAGTGTAAGTCTTGAAAAACAGTGGTTAAAAAATCCTTTTTGATGTGTTTATTTTTGTTTTGGTACAGCACCTTGCTAACTCATGTGGTTCATTAAGAATTATTTCAGCAAAAATAGATGATACATTTTAGGTCAAAGGATTGTTGCCCTATGCAAATTTTAGGCTTTCACACTGAGTCTCTTGCCTCAATGTACAGGTTTGCTTGAGGCCTTTTAACTCATAAGCTCTACTGATCCCACTCCATGTCAATTTTGAGTGGGATAATACTACACAGAATTTGGTACAGCCCCTTCTTCCAACCCAACCCATTATTAATAAATGAGAAAAAGGAATAAAAAAGTAGAAAGTGGATAAGGAGGTAATAGGGATGCCAGATATATTTATTGTTTATATATCTTAAAGGCTTTGAACGAAGGTAATACGAAAGTGTGTTCTTAAAAGTCAAAGCTGGTGGAAAACGCAAGCAAGAAAGTCTCCTTCCACTTTTGGTTAATGAGCCTCTTCTTGTTTGTCAGCCAGCCAACCACACCCTCTTGACTCTGTAATATCTAGAGGTGGCTTGGAGATCAAGCATTACCTTCCGAAGAAAATATTGCCACTGCCGCCCTCCAGAGCCTCTCTCTACAAGGGTGGTGCACAGCCATGGGGAATCCAAATATACATGAGAACATAATCATTCTACTGTGTAAGAGAGTAACCTGATCTATAAAAAGCTCTGGGCAGTGCTGCCAAGATGCATTGCACTGACTTTGAAGGAGACAGTTACAGTATTTTCCATTAAGTGCCATAGAAGATGCTAAAATTGAGTCAATATTTCCTGTGGCATATCATGAATGTAATGGGTCATATTAATTTAGTGGTTCACTGGCCAGATAATGTCTGACTAAATGAAAAACCAAATTTTAGAATATTTAATTACATAAAAAACAACTATGTATACCTAATCCGTTAAAAATTACATGTAGAAATTATTCTAACAATAAATTGTTTTATCCATTATTACCCCTATTTTTGTGGTAATATAGTTTTGTTTCTTTCATGGCGTTACCACACAGCCAATTTTGATGAATGGTACTCTTTTATTCCAAAAGGCACTACCAAATGTTTTACACAGTTGTTCAAATATTTTTTTAAAAAACTAATATATTGATCTTTGGAGGAGCACTGGGTTTACCATTCATTTTAATAACAAAAGAAACTTTTTTTTTTTTTTTTTTTTTTTTGCAGTTGCAAGATTTAATAGAGTGAAAACAGAGCTCCCATACAATGTGAGGGGACCGAAAGGGGGTTGCTGTTGCTGGCTCAAATGCCTGGGTTTATATCCCAATCATTGTCCCTCCCACTGTGCTCTCAGGCGATAGATGATTGGCTATTTCTTTACCTCCTGTTTTTGCCTAATTAGCGTTTTAGTGAGCTCTCTTTACTATCTGATTGGTTGGGTGTGAGCTAAGTTGCAAGCCCCGTGTTTAAAGGTGGAAGCGGTCACCTTCCCAGCTAGGCTTATGGATTCTTAGTTGGCCTAGGAAATCCAGCCAGTCCTGTCTCTCAGTCCCCCCCTCAACAGGAAAACCCAAGTGCTGTTGGGGAGGTTGGCCAATGACCGCTCTAACTGCTTCTTGCTGCATTGGGGCATAGTAGGGGTTGTGCAGTTGAGATTTCCTTGGGAGGGGTGCCTTCGATGTCATTGACATCGGAGCATGGGCTAGCAGGCTGGTCCAGGGGTTCATGGTAGATCTTAGTCATGGACTGCATCTGGGGCTCCATTTGAAGAATGATTTGTAGTTTTACAGCTTTGATTCTGGAAGAGACAAACTTAACAAGGAGGTTAAAGATACAGGGATTGAAATGTATGGCCTGCAGTGCAGGGGATTATTCCTTTGGCACACTTTACAAGCTCTGACTATCTGCTTGACAGTTTTGAAAAGGCCTGGTCCAGTAAATAATAATTTGGCCATCTGATGGGTGCTATCAATGGCTAAGTCGAAGGTTTGGTGAAGGGTTTTAAGTAATTTCTATTGGTTAGCTGCAGGCAAAAGTATTTTTCTTTCTTCGGTAGCTAGCCATCCTGAGGGTAGGAAAGTATGTCCTCATGAGGTTCCCTATTCTATTTCTCCTGCTGAGTACTGGGGCTTGGTTTCCCGGAGAGGATTACCCCATACTAGAGGTCCTTCTATAAGAATTTCTTATGGAGGGTCCTGCCTTGCAGTTCTCCTGGCTTCAATATCCACTTGGCTGCTCCCTTCTATTTCCCTTTCCTTTCTGATGACCCTGGCAGTATATGACTGCCACCTCTTTAGGTTTCTGTACAGCCAATAACAATTTCCTAAAGGCTTCCTGATGTTTGATAGGTGTTCCCTCAGAAGTCAGGAATTCCCTTTCTCTCCATATTGCTGTATGGGCATGGAGGACTAGGTAAGCATACTTAGAGTGTGTATATATATACCCTTTTTCCTTATCCTAATTCTAGTGCCCGAGTGAGGGCTATTAGTTCTGCCAGCTAAGCACTAGTTCCTGAAGTGAGGGGATTACTTTCAAGTATTCCATTATCACTGACCACCGCATACCCCACTTTTCAAAGTCCTTTTCCTACGAAGGAATTTCCATCACTATACAAGTTGAGGTTGGGATCAGTCAAGGGAACCTCTAAAAGGTTCCCTTGAGCAGGGTATGTTTGAGCAATTACTTGTTGACAGTTATGTTCTATCTTTTCTTCATTGTCTGAAAGAAATGTGGCTGGGTTAAGAGTTGCACAAGTGCACAGTCACAGCACTGGCCCTTCAAGTAATACAGCCTGATATTTAAGTAAACTGTTGTCTGACAGCCACAAGTCTCCTTTAGCAGTGAGTATGCCATTCACATCATGAGATGTCCACACAGTGAGATCTCTTCCCTGTATTATTTTAACTGCTTCAGATACTAAGACTGCTACTGCCACCACTACCCGTAAACAATGAGGCCAACCCTTTGCCACTACATCAATTTGCTTACTCAGGTATGCCACAGGTTGCAAGCTTGTCCCTCAGACTTGTGTAAGGACTCCTAGAGCTATTCCTGTTTTTTCTGTGACATATAAAGAAAAGTCTTGCCCTGTTGGCAAGCTTAACACTGGGTCTTGGGTTAGGGCCCTCTTTAGGGCCTGGAAAGCTGCTTCTGCTTCAGGTGTCCATCTTACTAAATAGGTATTGGCTTTCTGAGTTTCCTTAATTAGTGTATATAATGACCTGGCTATTTTGCCGTACGTGGGAATCCATATTCGGCAGAAACCTGTTATGCCAAGGAACCCTCTTAGTTGCTTTAGGGTTTTGGGATGAGGATAAGCCAGTATAGGCTTGATACATTCCTCACTGAGGGCCCTGGTGCCTTTGGATAATTTTAGCCCTAAGTATTTAACCTGCTGTGAGCAGAGCTGAGCCTTTGGTTTGGAAATCTCGTAGCCACAGGTAGCGAGGAAATTTAAGAGTGCTTGGATGGCTTGATGGCACAAGGTTTCTGAACGGGTGGATAAAAGTAAATTATCCACGTACCAAAGGACAAGAGTGTCCAGGTATGATAATTGGTTCAAGTCTTGGGCTAATGCCTGGCCAAATAGATGGGGGCTATCCCTGAACCCTTAGGTAAAACAGTCCAGGTAAGTTGAGACGTTGGGTTCAAAGGATCTTCAAAGGCAAACAAGAATTGAGAGTCAGGATGTATAGGGAAGCAGAAAAAGGCATCCTTAAGGTCCAGGACTCTAAACCGCTCTGCTTCCTCTGGTATTTGAGAAAGCACAGTGTAAGGGTTAGGTACAGCTGGGTATAGAGGGAAAACAGCCTCATTGATAATCCTGAGATCTTTCACTAACCTCCACTGTCCATTGGGTTTCTGTATTCCTAAAATTGGAGTATTGCAGGGGCTATTGCATGGTTTTACTAGGCCTTGAGCTTTTAGGTCCTTAACAATCTTTTGGGGTCCTTGTTGGGCCTCGGGTCTAAGGGGGTACTGCCTTTGGTAGGGAAAGGAGGTGGAATCCTTTAGTTTAACTTGAACAGGATGGGCATTCTTTGCTGGTCCATATTGTCCTTCTGTTGCCCAGACTTCAGGATTAATTCCTTCCTCAAGCAGGGGACAACAAACGAGTGTTCCTTCTCCTATGTTCAGGTGTATAATGGCCCCTGCTTTTGCTAGAATGTCTCTCCCTAACAAGGGAGTGGGGCTTTCAAGCATAATTAGAAAAGCATGTGAAAAGAGAAAGCTCCCCACTCACAACTTAGTGGCTGGGAGAAGTATCTAGTGACTGGCTGTCCTAGGACCCCTCGGATAGTGACAGATCTGGAGGACAGTTGTCTGGGACAGGAAAGTAAGACTGAAAAGGCTGCGCCAGTGTCCAGGAGACAGTTAACCTCCTGGTCCTCAATGGTCAAGCATACCCGGGGCTCTGTGAGGGTGATGGCATGGGCTGGTGCTTGCCCCGGGCACCCTCAGTCCTGCTGCTGGATCATCTGGTTAGTGGCTTCTGACTCAGAGGACCTTCATCCCCTGGGGCAGTGGGCCTTCCAGTGATTCCCTTGACATAAGGGGCACGGATGAGGGGGCGGTTTATTTCTACCTGGACAATCTTTTTTAAAGTGTCCTTGTAGACTGCACTGGAAGCAAGCCCTATTAGGCATTTGATTTGCCCAGCTTTTCCGTTTTCCAGAGCCTCCAAATTCCACTTGCCTGAGGGCTATGACTAAAGCAGTGGCCTTTTTTTAATTCCATTTGTCCCATTCCACCTGCTCCTCCTGATCTCTATTATAAAAAACTGAGGTTGCCAAGTTCAATAGGGTTTCTAAGTTTTGCTCCAGGCCTAAGGCAGACTTTTGAAGTTTTTTTCTAATGTCTGCAGCTGACTGAGTGATAAACTTATCTTTTAAGATTAGTTGGCCTTCAATAAGTCAGGTGACAGGGAAGGATGCTTCCTCAACGCCTCCCTTAGTCTCTCCAGAAAGGCAGTAGGATTTTCTTCCTTTCCCTGTGTTATAGTGGACATCATTGAATAATTCACAGGCTTCTTCCTAGTTTTCCTTAGTCCTTCTAGCACACAAGTTAGCAAATGTCTGCAGCACTAATCTCCATGTTCTGATTCTGTGTCCCAATGAGGGTCTACACTGGGAACTGCCTGCCGGCCTGTGGGGAATCATTCTCTTTCCTCTCTTGTCATCCTATCATTGACCTGACTGAGATACCAGAGATCGCCAAACTCTCAGGCTGCAGTTATGGTGGCACTTCTCTCATTCAGGGTTAGTGTCTGATTTAGCAGTAACATTATATCTCTCCATGTCAGATCAAAGGATTGTCCTAACCCTTGTAAAACATCAATATAGCCATCAGGGTTATCTGAGAATTTACCTAGGTCTATTTTAGTTTGCTTTAAGTCTGAGAGAGAAAAAGGTACATGCACTCTGGCTGGGCCAAGTTCTCCTCCTCCCACTGCTTGGAGGGGGCATAATCGCAGAATATTGGCACTCTTTGGTTCATTGTTTACCCCTTTGTTTATCTCCTTTTGGACTGTTTGGGTTGAAGGGGGGTCCTTATTAGTTGGAGAAGGAGTCAGGGGGATGCTGGGGTAGGGAGGTAGACTCTGAGGGCTTCCTGTAGGGCATAAATCACACTTTTTACATAATTGTGAGTTGTCTCTTAATGAAAAGAAAGTTTGTACATATGGCACTTCACTCCATTTGCTTTCTTTTCTACAAAAGAGGTCTAGCTGTAAAATGGTGTTATAATTTATACTTCCCTCAGGAGGCCAGGTTTCTCCCCCTTGAAGAGGATGTCATGGCCAGGCAGTACTGCAGAAGAATATAAGTTGTTTCTTTCTTAGTGTCTGAGGGTCAAATTGGTCCCAATTCTCCAGAATACATCTTAGGGGCATTTTTTGCCTGGGGGGCGGGGGAACATTTCCCATCTGAAAAAAGAACATAGGGATGCCAGCACCCCTAGTCATCTTCCAATGAGCATTAGTCCTAGAGCATCCTCTAAGGGCCTAATGCTTATTCTTTTCCAAAATGCGCAACCACCCATGGACCTCTGCTTATCAGATTAGTTATGCTCACCGATGTAGCAGTCCTGCACCCCTTTTCCTGCCTTTCTTGACCACAAAGAAAGGGGCCTGGGCTGCTGGATTCTAGTGGTCATTTACCAGAGTGCCCAACATTGCCTTTGCGCTCAGAGGTGAGTTCCTTTCCAAGGTGTGTAACCACCCATGGACCTCTTCTTATCGGATTAGTTATGCTCACCGATGTAGCAGTCCTGAACCTCTTTTCCCGCCCTTCTTCACCACAAAAAAAGGGGTCCAGGCTGCTGGATTCTAGTGGTCCTTTTCCAGTGTGCCCAACATTGCCTTTGTGCTCAGGGGTGAGTCCTAGAGTTGGGCTGGGTTCCTGAGTATTTCATAACAACCCAGCTGCCCCAACAAGATGCATTCCCATAAAAGCAGTTATTATGCAAATTCATTTCAGAGAGGGCGTAGGTAACCTTTTGAGTCAGGGTTGAGATAGTCTTTTGATTCTGGAAGGCTTGGCTGAGTGCAAACAGCTCGCATGTTTGAGAAGACCAATTATTAGGTGATTTTTCTAACTCTGCTTCCACAGGAGTCTCCGTATCAATTATTGAATTGAAAACCATTGTGGTTTTTTCCTCAATCACCTGGGAGGAACCATCTGTCTTCCTGTCCTGAAGGGAATTCCTCCTAGGTCTGGTCGGACCTTTGTATGGTAATTAAGATTTAAATCCCCTGTTAGGAAATCTGCTGGGTTAAGGGAATTATCAGTGGTTGTTGTTAAATTACCTTTTTTTTTTTAACAGAATAGCCCCATACTTTAAGATTTTTGAGTAAGCTACCTTTTTGCTTTTTTGACTTAGGATAGTTCTGAACCGGTGAGGTGTGCTCACAATGAGGTTTCCTCTAAAGCCTAATTTTCTACTTTCTTCTGTTAGCAAAGCAGGTGCCGCTACAGATTGAATGCATTTGGGCCACCCGCAGGTTCCTGGGTTAAGGATTTTTGATAGGAAGGCTACCGGTTGTCAGTGGCCTCAGTGCTTTCGGGCTACGCCCTTATTTACACTGACAACAAAGTGGTATTGGAGTGTTATAGGGTCACGGAGAATACCTTCAATTATCAATTATAGGTTTTAAATTTACCCTGGCTTTTAAAGGAATAGGGCACACTGTTTTTTGTTTTTGTTTTTGTTTTTGTTTACTATTTCTATCTTTCTCTTTTTTCTTTGACTCTGTCTCTCTGTCTCTCCCCTTCGTCTCCCTCTCTCTCTCTCCTCCATCTCTCTCTCTCTCCTCTGTCTCTCTCTGTCTCTCCTCTGTCTCTCTCTGTCTCTCCTCTGTCTCTCTCTGTCTCTCCTCTGTCTCTCTCTGTCTCTCCTCTGTCTCTCTCTCCTCCGTCTCTCTCTCTCCTCCTCTTAGCCATTACAAACTCGGGGCCCCGGCAAGGGTGGTGGGGAATGGGTCCCACATAACTGCCCATGTTGAGAGCTGTATACCTAAATCGGGAGGGATACCAGGGATAAGACTCCCTGGGTTTATAGCCTAGATGCCTAAGGATGCAGCGTAGAGCTTCCTTAGATCCCTTTGGAGATATAACTTGCTAAAGGAAATAAAAGTCTGGACCATTAGTACCTAGGAGGCAGGGATCAGAGGAAGTAGATTCAGAGGTAAGGAGAATTTTGGGGCTACACTTTCAAGAAATTCGTGGTCAGGACCCAGGAGGTATGGGTCAGAAGGAAAGGTAGGGGCGCACGCATGGGCGACTGTTGAGTAGAGACTTCTGGCTGCACCATGATCTCAACCAGCTACTGCCGGGAGTTCGGGACGACAGCTTTCTGCCTCTAGTCGGCCCTGGGCTTCCCCAAGAAAACTGAAAGTGGAAGCTGGCTTGAGGTAGACATCCATCCCCAACCCAGAAGGATTGGGGGTTGTCAGAAAGCCCTTCCCCAGATAGCCTCACACCTGAGTCTTAAGTCCTGTGGCCATGCTAATTGTTTTTAACTGGCCGACAGGTGCCTGGTATTTTCCTCCAATTCTAAGGAAGGATAAGACAGAACAGCAAGCGAAAGCGGTCCAATATTACTCACCACTTTGGAGGTCCCTTCATGGTTGCCAAAATGTTACCGGGGGGTCCTTGCTCCCAGAGCTCCCAAGATGGTGGCAGGCCGCTTCCAACATGGTGGTGGGCCCTTTCCAAGATGGTGGCAAGCCTCGCATTCTCTAACCTGGGGTTCTTGGCCTCACGGATTCCAAGGAATGGAATCTGGGGCCATGCGGTGAGTGTTATAGCTCTATTAGAAGCTGTGGGTCATGGAAGAGAACCGTGGAACCCAGTGACTAGTGTTCAGCTCAATTAGGACGAACCTGAGCACTTAATCATGCAGGCACAATGGCAAGCCTCTAGCCTGATCAGGAGCAGCAATGGGCGCCTCGCTGGATCAGGAGCACAGCGGACACCCTGCTGGATCCGGAGGGATGGAAGTCAGCGGTGGGTCTGCTACGGTAGCCAGCAGCAGTGGTGGACGGCGGGAGAAAGCTCAGCTCGAGCCGTAACAAACACGGACCAGAAGAGTGCAGTTGCAAGATTGAATAGAGTGAAAACAGAGCTCCCATACAAAGGGAGGGGACCCAAAGGGGGTTGCCCAAAAGAAACTTCTTGAAATTTAGTTTTAAACTGTAAAATATGTACGTTGATCAGAATGTACAATATATTCTAAATGTTTAAGCATTTCTATCACTAAAGAGTAAATTATTCTACTGAATTTATCATGGATATTTAAATACTTGGAATAATAGTTATTATTTTTTCTAAATGCAGTTTCCATAGAAACAATACTCTTTACTTATTAGGCAAAAAAAGACCAGAATGGACTCCACTAAGCTGTGAAGTTCCTTTAACCTTTGAGTTTACGGAATTCACATGTAGATTAAAATGCGTTTCAAACATTTAATACATTTTGTATAATGCATACTTTCTTTTTCTATATAATAATATATTTAGAATACTAATGTTTTAGCATGTTTTATTACATGTTTGTTTATAGATATTTGCACACACAGAGAAAGAGACAGATGTAGATAATAATGATATCTTTACAAGTCTATTAGTTGTTCTGTAGAAATATTACACATTTAGAAATGCATTAATGTAAAAATATAGTAGTTTTCTTAAGCATATTTGCAAAGCTAAGTTTTTAAATAATCAAGATATTTAAACATAATATGCAGTCTACCATTATATATTTCAGTGTACCAATTCTCAATAGGTCAAATGCATCAGTGCTAAATTGGGGAATGCAGAAATGGCTGGTAAGTATTTGGGACCTGTTTAAAAAAAAATAACAAAGATAAGGGATGACATATAGGAGTGGAACACAGTGTGATTTTTTAAAAACTATTCTTTTTGAAAATGCTTTAACTCATCAAATGATTACTGGGTTACCTGCAAAAGTTAAGGCAGAGAAAAATCAACCTGCTTGCAAAACCTAGAATATATAGTATTTATAAGTAACACATATAGTTATCTCCATTTACTCATCAGTCCTAGTTCAGTAAAAGCTCATATTATCATATTTTCACAGATGGAACCATCCTTCCTTTTTGGTGTACTATACTTGAATGAATAACATCCTGTCTTGGAAACAAAGCTGTAAAATAAACAGAAATAGTGATGTAATTAGCCTTCTGTCCTTAACACCTGATATGGTTTGGCTGTGACCCACCCAAATCTCATCTTGAGTTGTAGTTCCCATAATCCCTATGTGTCCTGGGAGGGAACAGGTGGAGATATGAATCATGTGGGAAGTTTATCCCAGCCTGTTCTTATGATAATGAGTTAGTTCTCACAAGATTTAATAGTTTTATAAGGGGCTTTCCCCCTTTTGCTCATTCTTCTTCCTGACACCATGTGAAGAAAGACATGTTTGCTTCCCCTTCCACCATGATTGTAAGTTTCCTGAGGCCTCCCAAGCCCAGCAGAACTGTGAGTCAATTAAACTTCTTTCCTTTATAAATTACCCCGTCTTGGGTATGTCCTTAAAGTAGCATGAGAATGGAGACCAATAATTACTAGGATCTGAAAACACTCAGTAGCCAAAAAAATATTTATTTAATTTAATCTTTCTATGAATTTAAATAAGAAAAATGGACCTATTTGATCAAACAAACACAAAGCCAAGTTTTTAAGTGTGACAATGTGTGCCTCGTCAGTTCCTCTAAGGTTAGGGCAAATGGCAAAGTATTTAAGTTTACAGAAGAATGAGGTCTGATTAAGCATTAAAATAATGTCTTGATTATAAGAATTGTTGAATGGCAAATTGAGTTACAGAGGAAGTCATGGAACTTGTTTTGTAAAATAATACGATCCTAATGAGATCAGCCAAAGTCAAAGATGTGAGGTAAGTGAAGTCTATCTGTGTACCATACATGCACTTCCTATTCTAGGTCTTAACTTCCTACCTCCGTCCACTTACGTTTCTCCATGGCTTCCCCACTCCTCTATCAGATCTCACCAAGCAGTGTATACAACCAACCTACCCTGTTAGAATCCACATCTCATCCATGCATTGCTCTTTCTCAATCAAACTTAACACCTTGTGAGCCATTCACTAAAGTTACTGTTAGCCATTCCCTAAAGTTAGCCATTCCCTAAAGTTACTGTTAAAGTGGGCTAATCACAAAAACAATGCCAGAAGTATATGTTAATGATTGCTGCTTGCTTTATGTATTTTTTGAACTACTGAACTATAGAAAGACAAAAAAAAATTATTTTCTTTGGTAAGTGTTCAAGTCTTACTTTAGGTACTTCGATTGTTATAAAATATTGTTGCTTCATTTAAATTATTTCTAAACTGCAGAAGACTCAATTTTGAGTGAGATGTTTCTTATATGCCAGTTTGAATTTCTAAATAACAAATTACATTAATAGTAAGATGTTCTCTGCCAACTGACAAAAGAGAAGCCTAAATTCAGCACTTTTTTTTTTTTTTTTGAGGTGGAGTCTCACTCTTGTTGCCCAGGCTGGAGCGCAGTGGTGCCATTTCAGCTCACTGCAACCTCTTCCTCCCAGGTTCAAGCTATTCTCCTGCCTCAGCTTCCTGAGTAGCTGGGATTACAGGTGCCCACCACAACGCCTGTCTAGTTTTTGTACTTTTTAGTAGAGATGGGGTTTTGCCATGTTGGCCAGGCTGGTCTCGAACTCCTGACTTCAGGTGATCTGCCCACCTCAGCTTCCCAAAGTGCTGGGATTACAGGCGTGAGCCACCATGCCCGACCAGCATTCTTTATCTATAACAGGATTTGAGATTTGATAAAACACACATGTGTTAAGAAGGAAAAAAACAGTAACAATAATTGGCTAGATTTTAAGTTATTTTGATTTATTAAGTGATATTGTACAAAAATGTTATGGTATTTATTTGTGGAATTCGAAAGTGACCAAAGCTCATAATATCAGACAATCTGACCATGTAAGCCAGGCCAAAGAGATTATTACTTAATAAGCACTTTAATAAGAAAAAAAAGTTAATACATTAAAAGGCAGAGTTTTTAATAACAGAAACATTAACTATAACTTATTATTTCATTTCACTCTTCAAAGGAAGTCAGTGGACAAATGATTCCAGTACGCTTGAATAAAAGTAGATTGTTACATGCATGTAACAGCTGCAGGCAATGCCCATTGATTGGGATCTTTGTCCATGCTACAAGATAAAAATCTCAGCAGAGATTCCAAGAACACAGAGTCATTGGTTTCCATATGTTCACAAATTGCTAAGATGTTACACTATTACCTGACATCTACATAAAGAATTCATGCATAAACAAAGAGGCAATAAATTAAATTCCAAAATTATTTTAGTTGGCATTTAAGAAACAAACATCGGGGCAAAATTGATCTCTGATCTTGATCTTAGCCTCTGCCTCTCGTTTCTCTCCTTAATGTGCTTACATATGAATTCCCTTTCAGTATTTGTCACTCACCTCATCAGCTCTGCTCTACTCATAATCCAGAGATCCAGATCCCTAAGACAAACCAGAACAGTGCCCCAGTCCTAAGTGTGACTTGTGGGATGTCTAGCTCATATATTAATAGCTGCCTGATTTGGGGATTTGGCTGTACACTGTCCACTCCATTGCCTCTCTGGACAGAAGGCCAACTGTTAACATTTTCGCCTTCTTTTCTGAGCTTAGGTATTTGTGCTTTCCCACCTTCCCTCCTAACCTCTGTGGTTTCTGATAGAGGCTTTTCACCCAGGGCTGAAGTTTCTGTTTCAGGGTGGCCTCCCAGGCTGAACAGAGTGGTTTTTACCATGTGTGGTTACAGATGCTAGAGATAAGTGAGGAAGGAAAGAAAGGGATCTATGTTTTGGATGACCTATTACTTTCCAGAAAAGGACCTAGCCTCTTTACATGGCTTCCACTCAAAGCAACACTGTAAATTATGATTATTAGTTTCACTTTCCAGTTTAAAAAACTGAAAATCAAAAATAAAGTTTGCATATTTTATGCTGCTAAGCTGTCAACTGGAAGACAGGGTTTCTACTTCTGGCTTTGCTACTGAGTGACTTTGGTCAGCTCCCTCAATTTTGTTAGCCCTCAACCGCCACATCTGCAAAATACTGTTATTGTTACCAGGCTGATCTCTTTGAGGCCCAATGTTTCTCAAGTTCTGTGAAATTATGATAGAAAAAAGTTACTTCTGTGATTCAGATTGTTTAAATTTGATAGTGGGTAATGGGATTTCATTATACTATTCTCTTTACTGTTTTATACAGTTAAAATTTGCCATAAGAAACGTTTTTTAAATCTCTATTATCTAAGGAACAATACACCAGCCCATTTTCACTAAAACATGTAAATTAGTGGTAATTTAGAAATTATCTTAATTATCTTCATATTTATTTTGCACATGAAACAGGCAAAAACTGCTACCAATGGCAATTGAATTTTTCCATCTGTTCTATATTTTGCTAAAACAAAATTCTTATGTAATAAAATCAAACAAGAATATTCTTCTCCACTTAGAAATAAGTGGAATGCTTATTATCAAGCATTTCGTTTCTGTGGGCACCCACTCTGGTATAACTAAACCATATGTTTTATTTACAATTCTGCCAGACTTTCCCCAGATTCCTTTCTTTAAAGGGTCTCTAGCTGGACAAGAGACCTATGTTCTAACAGACACTTTCACCCTGGTTATCGTTGAGTAGAGAGTTAGAGACTCTGATAGCTAGAAAATCCACCCATTAAACCACACCACTTCTGCTGGGGCATGCAATGTTCACCAAAAATGAGCAAGTTAATTGAATGACAAACAATTTCCCACATTACTAAGGTTTCAAAAACAATGCTATGTTCTCTTTTGAAAGTTCAGAGTTATGAACAGTAACAATTATCCCACTTCAATTCCATTCATTCAAATAGTGAAAGCTGGAATGCTTAAAATACAAATAACTAGCAAAACTCAACCAGATGTTTATCACGGGTGATTTTATTCTATTTTTTTTATAGCTTAAATTCCCTGAACCAATTGAGGAGGAAATAAATAATCTAAGTTTTAAAATGTTTCCTTTAAATTTTTATTTAGTTGCTAAACTTTATCGTCTATAAGTTCAGAAAAGAATGGGAATTCTTACCTACCTTAGGACTATCTGTTTTTCTGGAATGGCAATTTCCCTGCACTCTTCAAAATTCAATGTGAGGCATACATTTGATTGGTTGAGAGGCCCTATTTGAAATGTGGAATTAAAGAGGTACTGCTTTATTGTGTCTTAAAATACTTAGACTCTCAAGCCAATTTAATATTTACAGATTGTTCGTGATTGTGAAACAATTGCATGTTAGAGTCCAGATGTATGAGTTTGATATTTCAAAATTCATTAGTTCAAAATTCAACTCTGGCCCACCCAGAAACATGAGATTAAACAAAGAGACCAAAAAACAACACATTCATCACATAGCCACTTGGTTGGTACCAGCATCCTCCAACACATAAATGTAAAGCACACATCTCTGGACATGAAAAAATTAGTCAGAAGTACTCTATTGTAGAAGAAAGTAAATGATTTTAAGAACAGCCGTTACTGCTGCAGGGAGGGTAAATATTTGATTCTGTGACACAGAAAATACTAAGCAAACATGATCCTTTAAAGAAAGGGCAGAGATAGGCATATGGTACTTCCAATCAGCATTTCCAAATATTCTCATCCCACCAAAAGAAAGAACAGAAACAATTCTTAGTGAATACTTGAGAGAAAAATTACAGATATGAACAGTTTTGTAATGGGAAAGAGGCTCAATGAAATAGAGTTTGTTGAGACAACAGGACCTTGGAGATCAGAGCCTTTTTATAACTCATTCTTTTCCTTTTTGCACGTTCAGGCCCACATGATGTAAAAAGTACCCATTCTGTATGAAGAGGTTCAAATGACCAGCTCTAAACGAAGAGTTAGAGGGATGGAAGAGTTGATCCCAAATACAGGAATTAAAAATTGGGGCTAGAAGTTCAACTTAGTTTCCAGTTACATGTAAAAATGGAGTCAGTAAATGTAGCCCAAGACTCATGTTTGAAATAAATTTGTAAAATGCCATAAGCTTCATAATTTTACCACTTTTGATCACTTCCCTCTAAAGACTAGTAGTAATGTACTAAAATTGTGAAAGGCTTATATTTTGGCTATTTTTATTAAAAAACCTCCCACCTTACCCACCATACCCTCCATCCTTCTTCATTTTGCTTGTGCTCCATCTGGGAGACTGATCTGTATGGTATGCACCAATAGCTGCCACACCCGCTGGCTTCTGGTTGGTTTGGCCAATGAGAAGCACAAGCAGATGTTGTGATGATAGAAAAGGATGAGTTTAGGGTATTTATGGATTCCCTTAGGACCCTCCCTGCTGGGTTGCTGGGAGTTGGTTTCATCTTTCCTGAAGGTCATAACTTCTGCCAGGTGGCCCTCTCCATAAAGCCATTCTCCTTGGTTTTAGTAAAGCTTCTCCTCTTCTTACCCCTTCTCCTTTACCCCCTGAAAAATATAGCAACCCAAAAATGACACCACATGCCTGGGTGAATTGAAAAAATTAGTTCCACAACAAACAATCTTTTAAATATAGGGGAAGTTGATTCATACCACGTGTTCATCTAAATAGCTTGTTTGGCTGGTGCATAAGTTTGATAGGTCTTGGATAATGACTGAGTTATGTTTTAACCTGCAGCTCCAGATGAGGAAAAATCACTACAGTCTTCAGCAGCTAGAATACAGCTGTTGACTTAGCTGATTAAAAATCAGTCAAGGAAAATTAGAAGCAGTTTCATAGATACAAAAGTATATCTTTACCACATTGCTTCAGGACAAAGTCAACTCTCCTGCCCAGTGTCATAATTTAGTCCTTTATAGTCTTTATATACCACAGAATATCACACTAGCTTGTTTATTATGCTGATGCTGTTATACTAATGAGTCTGGGGATCAGGACTAGTAAGACCCATGCACATAAGAGGATAGCAACTAAACCCTGTGAAGTTTCAGAGGTTTGCCACATTGGTATAGATTCTTAAGAATCCAGTGATTTGGGAAATATCAGAATATTGCTTTGAAAGTGAGATATCTGCTCACCTACCACAAAGAAAGGCAGATTGCTTGGAGGGCATTTTTGAATTTTGGAGCAAAATATAGCAGGTTTAAATTGTCAGTGTGGAATGGGTCCCACATCAAGAAAAGGCTTTGCAGCAAGTCCAGGCTGTAATAAAAACCCTGCAGACACTTGGACATTTTAACCCAGAAAAGCCTGTGGAGGTAGAAGTTCTGCTATATAAAGAACGGCACAGGGAGGAGGTCTGGCAGGCTGGAGGAGAGGGAGGTGCAGGTTCCTATTCCCTCAGCTACCTTCCGCCTGTTTTGGCTATCTCTACTGAAAGATCCTGTTCTTCTCAGGCATCTTTCCCCACAGAGCCTCTCTCCACCTTCTTGTAACTGTTCGTTTCCTTGCCTCTTTAGGCCTAGGAATGACAGTGGCTCCCGGCTGTGGCCAAGCCCATAGGACTGCACAAGTATTTTATGATGTTCCTCTACCCTTTTGTAGTCGCTTTATTAACCTCTTCTGTTTCAAAGTGACATCTCTTTCCTGTGCCTGCTTGTTTTCAGCAAGAAAATAGAGAATCTGATGAAATAGGATCCCATTCTACAGAACAGAAAAGAAGCCTGTGGATATTTAGTGGTAGCACAATCACAGGAAGGTAAAATAGAGCTGTAAAGATAAATTGAGATATTAACTGTGAAACTCATTGTGAAACCTGGCACTTCCTAGGTTTTCAATTTATGTCATTCCTTCTTCCTTGGCCTCGCCTCTCCCTTCTATATTACTTCGGTTGCCATAGCAACTGTTCTTCAGTGGCACCTAGTTTTTGAATGATGTACTTTACACAGCGTTAATCATTTTCATAGCACCTCTGGTGAGGGCACTGTGCTTCCGTCACCAACCACACTCTTTTCTGATGGTCTTTCTCTTTGTTCCCTGAGATATTTCTTCCAAACCACCATATTAAGGTAGGCTGATTAGAGAATCTCTTCCAATGTTTATGGCTATTATAGTAATGCTTTAATGTTCTGGGTCGTATCCTATATTCTTTTTAAGATTTAACCCATCTGCTTATGATTGATCAGTCTTTCACATGTAGGCACACTCAAATATGGGATAGTTATGTTTCCTTATAATTATGTGACAACTCCCCTCCACTCCACTTTTTTGCCCCTATTGGAAATTCCTTAGAATTAAACTTCTGTTATAGACTATTCTTTTTAAAAGGGTGGCAAATTTGCCAGACTCTCATAAATTCAACAAGTATTTATTGTATGCCTATTTGATGCTGGGAATATAATAGTGAGTATATTTCTACCTTTAAGGAATTTGTAGTCCAATTAAGAGCTCCCAGATTGTCTTCTCTCCAGAATAGAAATCCCTTCTTTAAGACACGGCATCCTATTTGTCTAAAGGTGGGTAAAGTTCCTAACTCTCCATCCCACCATGGAAAGCATTATTATTATATCAACTCAGACCTGAGATAAGAAGGCCTGCATTCAAATCGTGACTCCTCAAATCTTCAGCTAGCCACTTACTAGCTGGGGGACTTTTTACTGGATTACTTAACCTTTCCTCACAGAGTTGTTTTGAGATTTAAATGTAATAATCTGTGTAAATCACCTAGTATAATACCTGGAGCATTCATCATATGATTACCACTCATTAAACAATCACTTAAAAAGAAGTCTCCTAGAGAAATACATTACGGGTGAGTAGAGGGTTCCAGGCAGAGACATGGATCATGGTAGTCTCCAAGCATAGATTTTTCATAACTCAACCAATGTTCTCAGTTCTGTATTTTAAGTAGACTTATCTATGTGTTGCATTTTTAAGACTTCCTTTAAATGCCAGATATTTCATTTTCAATTCAAAAATATGATTTAGGCATCAGCCAAGAAATTACTTGCCTGCCACCATGCATGCAGAAATCAGATGCTTGTAGTAAAAATATTTTCATTTATTCAAGCTTCCAACCATGTCTCTTTTTCTTACAACTTTCAACCCAGATGGTTTACTAAGCTTGCCTTGTTTTTTATATATTATCTAATGGAGTAATGCTAAATGAAGTACTCTACTTACTGAAGTACTAATGAAGTAGCTTTTTGATAAGTTACTACCACTGATTTTATAAAAGTTAATGCACATTTTTCCTTCTTCCTGTGATTCTTAAATAGTAAAAAACCTTGATAATGAGAAAAAATTAGCCCATTTAGTAATTGCACTTCATACTATTTTTATACTAAAACAAGTACCACTCTTTTTGTATTTCTCAGTGGAGCCAACTATCAGGTAAGTAGAGACTCAAGTCAAGATTGATGTGATCCACCCGTGCCATCTCCCTTGCAATTCTTTCCAGTGTCACACCAAGATACTGTTTGAAGAAACAATACTTTGGGATCTGTAGACATGATGCTTCTGCCAATATTGTCATTGGGTATATTTATGACCTCGGGCAAGTAATTTCACTTCACTTCATATCTGTAGTTCGAAGATGGAGGGACTCATCCATTGTGACTCTTCCCTTTCTAGAAACCTACATCATGTACCAGACCTTTCTCCTGTGTTTCTCTGGGTAGGTGTGAAGCACGCCTATTCATGCCTACCATGCCTATGCCCAAGCCACAGAACATTGACTTGATTTATGTTGACCAAAAAAAGTAAGATTATTTCAGACATGAGAAAAATTTAAAAATAATAAATAACACTGCTCTTCAAATGCACTGAATGATTAGTTAAGAATATTATTTTTGTTTCGGTGACAATAGTCATGAAATAACAGACTCTAATTGGAAAGCAAATAACATTTCCCAAAAGGCTATCTTGAAAATGATTTTTGTATTGCCCATTGGATGTTTGCATACAACTTTCATCTTTGGCCAGAACCCAAATATAGACCAGCCTAGAAAGGTAATGGCAATAAAACAAGAGACTTTTGTAATGAAGTCTAGTAAAAGAAAATAAAAGCATTCTCTAAAATACAAGCTTCTAACAATGGTTGCTTTGAATTCCCTGCTATTAATGTTCCTCCACAAGGTAGGCATCCACCTTTATACAAAACTGGCAGTGTTAGAAAGCCCAGAAAGCTCATTTAGTAGTATAAAAGCATGTCTGTTCCTTGTATAAAATGTTTTGTCCCTGGTGATTTTGAGCTAATAACACTGTCAAGAGCACAGAGTTGGCAAAAAGACACCTGCATGGCCATTACATCCCAAAGGCAGGAGAGAGGAGACAGTTTTTCACTTCAATTACTGCTTATCTACAGCTGCGAAAAATGTAAGTTCACCTGAGAATAGAACTTACTTTTGTTCCACATCCATGTCCATCTAAAATCTTTATAAGGAGAACTAACTTAGACATAAATGTTATTATCAAATGTCCTATAATGACAAATAAGGTTAATTAGTTACTGATAAAATGTAAAGCATTCAAGGTCAAAGTGCAAAAACAATGCTAGCTTGGGGATTTGTGCTTATTGTGGTTTTTCTATTTGTTTGTTTTGAGACAGGTCCTCTTTTTTTTTTTTGCACATGCTGGAGTGCAGTGGCACGATCATCGCTCACTGCAACCTTGAATTCCTGGGCTCAGGTGATCTTCCCACCTCAGCCTCCTAAGTAGCTGGGACTACAGGCATGCCATCATACTCAGTTAATTTTTTTACTTTTTATTTTTAGTAGAGATGAGGTCTCACTATGTTGCCCAGGCTGGGACTTGCATTTATTTTTAGAAGAAGGGTGGATTAAATACTAGCCTTTCTGCAGTGGAATTAGAATTAGTTCCTTCTTTCCTGCTTCTTCTTTGTCCATATAAAATTTGAATCTTGAAAAAGAAAGAGTTAAGAATTCTTGAGTATAAGTAAATAAATCTTTCAATAATTCTTGCCTATGTGATTGCAAGAAACACTGTAAGGAGGAGAAACATCCAGGAGTTACCAGATGAGAATAAAATCAAAGTTCATAGAGTAGAATATATGAATGATTTCTTATGAAAGTTAGAAGTTAAAGTGCTTTTTTAGTTAATTAAAAATATCAGATAAATCAATTATTTTTTAAAAAACGACATGTACAATAAAAATCTTAAGCATTTTTTTCAGTTTCTCCCTTCAGTGATTTATAAGTGAATGTATTCTAAAGTGATTTTAATAGAACTAAAAACACAAATGTGGGGCTTGAAATAGAGGATTGTCCAACAGTATTAATGCTGACTAATATTGGAGTAGCTTCTTTTATGAGGTAACCTCATGAGACTCTTATAAAGTATATTTAATCATTGTTGGGAATGCTGCAGTTGGTAAGATATTAGACATAAAGTAATATTCAAATTTTTTTCTCATTCTTTAAAGAATACTCCACAGCACTTTACAACAGCCAAAAGGTGGAAATAACCCAAGTGTCTATCAGCAGATGAATGGATAAACAAAATGTGGTATATACCTAAAATGGAATCTTATTCAGCCATCAAAGATGAAGTATTGATACATGCTACAATGGATAAACCTTGAAAACAATATGCTAAGTCAAAGAGGCCAGATACAAAAAAGCCACATATTGTATGATTCTATTTATATAAAATATCAAGAATAGATAAATCCATAGGGAGAGAAAGAATTGGTGGACTGGGCGCTGTGACTCATACCTGTAACCCCAGCACTTCGGGAGGCCGAGGCAGGCGGATCACCTGAGGTCTGGAGTTCGAGACCAGCCTGACCAACGTGGAGAAACCATCTCTACTAAAAGCAGATACAAAATTAGCTGGGCGTGGTGGCGCATGCCTATAATCCCAGCTACTCGGGAGGCTGAGGCAGGAAATCGCTTGAATCCAGGAGGCGGAGGTCTTGGTGACCAGAGATCGCGCCATTGCACTCCAGCCTGGGCAAAAAGATAGAAACTCTGTCTCAAAAAAAAAAAAGAAAGAAAGAAAAGAAAAAGAAAATTGGTGTTTGCCAGGTTCTGAGGAGAGGGAGGAATGGGAACTGACTGCTAAATGGGTGTGGAGCTTTCTTTGGAGTAATGAAAATGTTTTGAAGCTCAATAGAGGTGGTGGCTGCACAGCATTGCAAAGTGTACTAAATACCACTGGATTGTGCTCTTCAAAATAGTTAGTTTTATGTTATGTAAATTTCACCTCAATTTTTTTTTTTTTTTTTTTTTTAGACAGAGTCTCTATCAGCCGGGCTGGGGTGCAATGGCAGGATCTTAGCTCACTGCAAACTCCACCTCTCCGGCTCAAGCAAATCTCCTGCCTCCTGCCTCAGCATCCCGCCCACCTCGGCCTCCCAAAGTGCTGGGATTACGCCACCGTGCCCAGCCCTCAATTTTTGAAAAGAAAAATAATTGTAATGTTAGGAAAGTTTGGTATCACTGGAGGAGAAATAACCCAATAAGAAAATAGAAAACCTAGAAAATTCATATGTTTATGAAAAAATATTTATTTCTATGATTATGTGTTATACTTGTAAATTAAATTTAAATTCTGAATTAAATTTATAGTTACCGTTGTCATATTATATGGCAATAAAATAAGTAATTTATTTATAAAATTACACCATTGATTTGAAACAGAATAATCCACTTCCCCAAGATTTTGGCAAAGTCCTAATGAGATAAGCATGAGAATATAGTCCCATATGTCTTTTAAATAAGAATTATATATTTACACATGTTTCCTAAATTTATCGAGGGTCAGAGAGATAAGTTGACAAGCCAGTTAGCTGTCAATTATCTATGACAATGGAATTATAGCAAATGGCTTGAATAAGTTGCTAATCCAAAAAGATTCATTCATTGCTTTGAAGATTGTTATGATTATTTTCAGGATCTTTTTCTCTGTGCTAAAATGTAATTCCATTGCTTTATTGCTGGCAGAATTAGATCCTAGCTTGGAAGCAAGAGAAAAACAACTTAGAAAAGCAAATTTACTATTATAGAGCAATGAAATGCCTGGAGTGATCTCATTTGTGCAAGCTATTCTCTTGTCAAATCACCTACTATGCACATGTCTTTCTAATTCTGGCACCTAATTTAATTGTTTAGATTAAATCTATAAACCAGTGATGCCAAAGTCTCTCTTCATCTTTGTCCACTTCAGAATAAAGTTTACTTCTTCATTTTTATTTATATAATAAATAATTACTGATTGCTAAATATGTCACAGGCATCATTCTGCATAATGGGGACAGAGCAGTGAGCAAAGCAAATTAAAATCCTTGCCTTCATAGAGTTTACTTCCCAGGGGAATAAATGCTTATCTCATCAGCGACCTTTATTCATGAGAAAGACATCAGTACCCTATTGACTGAAGGGTCTTCAGTGCCAGGGCAAGTTTATGATACAGTGCAACAGGCTCCTGATTCAAAAAATCTCCTGATAGAGATTTGCTATCCTGCCAGAGTCTCCATTTTCACTACAAAGTATTAACAAGACTAAATTCACAAGTTGTCCTAGGGATTAAATTAGATGATATGGGAAAAAAGAGTTTACAAATTTGTAAGTTATATATAGTTATATGTTTGTGTGTGTATATATAAATGATTTACAGCTCTGTATGCCTGCTTTATGTATTCATATGATAGATATTATCATAAAATTGTTACATTGTATTTTGGGACCGTTGTATGTCCTCAGTGTCTCTCATGATACCTGGTAAAGGGAAAACATTCATTAAAGTTTGACTGGGCAAATTAATGGATTATTCACAAACAAGTTCCCTAATTATATGAATTTTATTTTTAAAATATTCAATATTACTTCTATTCCCTACATAGTCCCACAGTTGCCTATTATTAAATTTTCCAATAAAGGGGCATTTTATCCATCAGGAAATAGTTGTATTTACTTTTAAATGAGAACAACCAGTAAATTTTTTAAAGTATAAGATACAATTTGCAATAACATGTACATTTTTAAAAAATATAAAATGCCAAATACAATAGCACTTACAATAGCAAAAACTACCAAATACTTACAATAAGTGTACAAAATACATTTAGCATCTCTACGCAGAATATTGTAAATCTTGATGGACAGAAATGGTAAAAGACCTACACAAATGAAGGAAAATGCTGTGATCATATATTAGAGGAACCAATATTATAAAAAACATTAATTTTTCTCAAATTGGTCTTTATGTTTGTTTTTTGCAGAGGTAAACTGATTCTAAGATTTATGAGGAATCACAAAGGGCCAAGAATAGCAATGCACACTTGAAGGAAAATAAGGTGGGATTTGTTTTACTGATATCAAGACTTATTATAAAGCTACAATAATTAAGGTAGTGTGGTATTGGTACAAGAATAGAAAAAGAGTACAATGTAAGAGAAAAAGGGAGATTATAAATATTTCTACCTAATTTTTGCTAAAGTGGCCCCTTAGCACAATGAGGAAGAAATGGATCTTTTCATAAATGAAGTTGGTTTAATTGAACACCCATATGAGTTCTACCTCACACCACACACAAAAAACAATTCCATATGAAATGGATATAAATGTAAAAGCAAAGTAATATAATTTGATAAGAAAATACAAGAGCATATATTCACAACCTTAAGTAAAGATTTCTTAAATATGAAGCAAGAGTCCTAACAATAAGAATAAAAATGATCAATTAAATGACTTTAATATGTAGAAATTATGTTTATCAAAATATGGCATTAAGAAAGTTAAAAAACAAGTCATAGAATGAGAAATGAGCAAATATATTTGCTGTACATATACAAGGTAAGCAGCTTACATGCAAGATAAATAAAACACAAGTACAAAAATCAATATGGAAAAAACACAACCTCAGAGAAAAATGAGCACAAGACCTATAAAACATTCCAGCAACATATACAAAAGTATGGAATAGTACTATTAATTAGAAAAATTAAAATCACAATGAGATAATACTGTATACCCATTAGAATGGCTAAAATAAAAGGCCTTTCAGTACCAAAAGATGGCAAGGATATGGAGCAGCTGAAATTCTCACATGCTGTGGGCTAATGTTTTAATTGATACAGGGAATTTGGAAATCTATTTGACATTATTCACTAAAATTGAACATATACACACCCTATAACATGACAATTCCACTACTAGGATTGTTTCTAACAAAAACGCTTGCACATGTATTTCAAGAGACATATAGAAGAATTTTCATAGCAGCATTATTCATAAAAGTCGAAAACTGGAAATAACCCCAATTTCCATCCACAGTGAAATGGATAGAAAAACTGTGGAACCTCTGTCCAGTGGGACAATAAATAGCAATGACAGAGAATGAAACACTGCTGCTCATAACAACATGGATGCCTCTTATAGGCATAATGTTTTAAGAAAGAAGCCAGGCACAAAAAAATGCATATTTTATGATCCCCTTTCCATACATTTCAAATCAGCCCAAACTAAACTGTAGTGAGAAAGAAGAGGATAGAGATTGGGAGTGTTTGGGGGGATAGGTCTTCTGGAGCACTGGTAGTTTTCTATTTCTTGATTTGAAAGGTGGATAATTTGTTGATGTTTACGTTCTTATTTTATCTACTTTTTGATAAGCAGATGATATTTTAAATAAATTCAAAAGCATAATAGATCATATTTTTTCTTAGAAAAGTTTAACAGCCATAAGATACCATAGGAACAGCCAGGCATGCATTAAAGGTAGAATTACTAAGCATTTAGATGACACTCTCACTGAGGAGAAAAATGTTCATGGTTTAGCAGAGAAAAAAAAAAAAAACAACAACAACTATGTTTTACTAGTCTTAAATGATTTAAATTTCCAAAAACCACTGGAAAGTTTCCACATCAAAGACTGAAAACAGGATTCTATCAACATGGGCAGGGTTGGAGGAACATTTGTCATCTTAACCAAGAAATTGGTTAAGAATAGGGGAAAGGAAATTTTTTTAAAAACACAACAAATTGTACTTTCTGTATTAAAATGTATAAGAATATGAGTTACTATAAGAACATGTACAATTTGACATTTTTATAAATAATCTTAATGGGTAAACAATAGCCTCTTTATGCTTACTTTGGCTAAATTTTGATAAAGGGTGAAAGTCTGCCTCCTTGATATTCCCTCTTCTTTCCCTCTGAAATCTTTTTGTATTGCTCTTATTGTTCAATTACTCATGTGTTCATTTGTTTCACAAATATTAACTGGGGATTATTGCATATAGGCATTGTGCCAGGCACTGAAATTTCAGTTGTAACAAAGCCAAAAGATGACCTCACTGAATTTCTATTCTTGATTATTGCCCATAGAGAACATGAGCAATAATAGAATATCAGCAATTATTGCCCATAGAGAATATAGGCAATAATCAAGCAAAAAAGTAAGAAAGCAAGGTAAGTAAGTGCAGACTAAAAACTGAAATGAAGGAAAATAAAATGGTATAGTGTAATTTAATCTAGGGTGGAAGCTGTTTCAGAAACAGTGGTTAGAAAAAGCCTACCTTAAGAGGGGATATTTCAGCTAAGATCAGGGATGAAATTTATGCATTTACTTAACTCAGCAAATACATATTAAACACCTACTGTGTGACAGGAGCCATTCTAGATGCTGAGAAATCAACAACAAACAAGAAAAAGATGTGACTTTCATGGCATTGACATTGAAGTCTGAAAGGAAATCTTCCATGTTGATGCAACAATGACTTCAAATACCCTGGACAGGAAAAGGCTTTGATGGCTTCATTAAACTTCTGAAAGGCTAGAATGTCATTAAGAGTGAACAACTGGGAGAGTGGTCTGCAATGAATTTGAAGAAGTGAATAGAAACCATAACATGGGTGATTCTGTAATTCATGGAAAGAAGTCTGTCTTTCATTCTTAGTAAAATTAGAAGCCATTGATAGGTTTTATGCAGAGGAATAATATAATTTGATTTAACTTTTAGATCACACTTGCTGCTTTGTGGAGAATAGTTTAAAGGGAACAATAATACATAAAGGAAACAAGTTAGTAACCTATCTTCCAGGCAAGAAAGGATAGTAATCTGAACTGGAGACAGGAGAGTAGAGATGGAGAAAAGTATACAGATTTGAAGAATAATTTGGGAATACAAGATACAAGAGAATACAAGATTCTATTGTATTGCTAATACAATACAACAGAATGTATTGATGAATAAGTACAGTAAGGGAGAAATAAATACATTTCTCTTTTGCTTTTAGAAGAAACAACTAAGTGGATTTTGATGATGTTTACTAAGGTGGCAAGGAGAAAGGAGACTTTGGAGAGATTTAGAACAGAAAATCATGAGTTTCTGTTTTTGGATAGATTGTGTTTGCAAGGTATACATAACACCCAGCTGTGTTGTCAGATAAACATTCTGAAATGAAATTCAAGAGCTTGGGGATAAATATAAACATTTGGGAGCCATCAGAATAAATACTGAGTTCACATTTATGTCAATTGATGAGATCACCTAGAAAATGTTTGTTGAAGAAGCAAAGTAGATCTAGAACCTAAAATTAAGAAGCACAGATATTTAAAGGAAGGGTAACCAGCTAAGAAAATTAAGTAGATGTAACCATTAAGTCTAAAAAAATCAGTAGGGTGGTGGAACAGAAGCCACAGGAGAAAAGTGAGTGGGAAAAAAAAATTAGTATTTACTGTCTCACATAATGGTGAGAAATCGAGCAAGTTATAGACAATGAAATGTTAATATTGACCTAGTTACGAGGTTTTTCAGTGGAATGCGGGGCTCAGATAATTGGGCAGAGAAGCCTGATCACAGTGGGTTGTGGTGTAAATGGAAGGGGAAGAAGTGAGACAGCACAATTAACAGCTGTGAACAGAAAGAAGTTATGGGTGGTTTGAAGAGAAAACAAAAGGTATAAAGTTCTCATTTTCAAAGTGGAAACATGATCCTATCAGAAGAAAATGAAAGGATTAATGAGTGGTATGGAGTGGAAGTTTGAAATTTGAGATCACAGAGTCCTGTGATCTTTCTCCAGCAAAGTTTCCCCACTCAAATTAAATCATAAAAAGGCACATGGCCAAGTTTTTCAGGGTAACTAAAATGAAAGGAGAGAGGGGTAAGGGATTGAAGGATATTTGCCATGAAGTAATCTCATGATGGACAGAGATCACAAACGCCAGGGTAAAAATGAAGCTTGGAGTGGTGATAACAGGTGTGGGTCAGGGTTGGAGTATTGATGTATTTGAAGAATTGTGGCAGTAGAGATACCTGAATAAATGCTCCAGATAAATAAATGATCATTATTGGACAATGGAATATTTAAAACCAAGATTTCAGAAGTGGTAAGTTTTCTGGGGCTGAAAAGACATTAAGTGAAAGTGGTTAGCTAGGAATGAAAAAAAATTGGGAGATGAGAAGATGAAAGAACCAAAAAGCCTCCATTTTACATGTTTTATTTATGTGGATGCTGAAGTCACAAATAAATATACTGTACAGAATTTAGAAATCTATATGCTTGAATAAAAGGGCCTTAATACATAGGTAAATAGACAACAGTAACAAAAAGATAGAGGAGGCATATGCATCAAGAACGGTGGTAGGCATTTGCAGGAGGGAGATGGATAAAGAGCTAATATTGCAAACCAAAATCAAAGAAGACAAGTCAACCCTGTCATACCTCATGTAATCACTACGAGAAAGAACAACTTTCTTTTGAGAGGGCCAAGTTGAGCTGACAATAAAAAGGGACAGGCAGTTTTTTGATAAAGCAAGAATATAAGGAAATGTTCCTAGAAAAGATGACACATTTGAGGTGGTTTTGTTACGAAGAACAAGAGAAATATGATGGAAGTGAGAGGATCAAATTAAGGGCTGGGCAGAACCGTATAGGGATGAGTTTTGTGAAGATAGATGTTCTTGTAGTCAAATGTCTAGCTATGACTAAGCAATGCAGGACTATTGATCCAACTCTCAGAGGAAGTAGAGCATCTAGAACTATTCATCTTGTACAAAAATATTACCCTTGATGGTATAGAAGCTTATTAGATAGAAGTTCCACAAGGCTTGGACTAATGTGACTATGCATAGGCAACAATTCCCCAAGGCGAGGGGCAGGGTGCTAGCACTCACACGCTGCTAGCAGCTTCCTAGGACTTTGAACCATATAATGTCCCTTCAGCTGGCACGTATTTTTCACAGCCTTTCTCAGGTTTCACTTCCTGAAGTGAAACTTTACTCACCTTTCTAGACCACAGTGTTTGAATTCCTATTAAACTAATGGTCTGCACCATTCTTGTTATTTAACTACATAGCAACTTTGCTAGAAAGTATATCATACATATTTAACTCATTGTTACAAGTACCTAGTAAGTCTACAAAATGAGATATTACATTTTATCCGCAGGTGAAGGTACACATTTCTCAAATCACAAGTTCAGGTCTACTAATAGCCCACTCAATTTTCCACAACTAAACTCAGTGTTTGCCCATTCTTCTTGATGGGAGAAATTTAATCTGAACAATTTCAAATATATTGAGACATTTATAGGTTTCCCAAGAACATATAAATGGTATCTATAAGATATTTTCATCTATGCTGGCATATTGGGTTAAAAAGTTATAGTTTAAAACTCAAAAGAATCAATTTAAAACAAATTAATCATTACCTCATACAGCTCATGATGGAACACTTTATCTCAGAAGGATATTTAGGCCGGTCATTCACTCAACAGATATTTAGTATCTGCTATTGGTACCAAAGCTTACATTAGACACAAGAGACACAGGTAGGAGACAAAAGTTAATCGGACACAGTTGCTTGTCTCAGAAAACTTGGAACATATTAATATAAATATAAATTACTTCCCATAACTACATGGTTTATATTTTTTATAGGTATGATGAATCTATAAAATGACATTAGTATATACTATTTACGAGGACAGGATGGAGTGAATAAGAAAGAGAGGAAAGGAGAGGGGGATTTGATGCAAGTCCTCAACTTTTGAGGATGATGTCAAGAAAGAAAAACCACCCCTTCCATAGGACCACCATAACCACTGTCAGTATCTAACAGCCCACCTCAAAATAAACAGATCAGAGGAGCAGATCTTATGTTTTTACACTCTAAAGTCAGATATTTTCAATAACAGTGAAGGTAATCTGTCTTCCTGTGGAGTACAAGACTCAGTGTGCGACCCAACTACCATTAAGGGGTTATTAAAAGTTTTTATCAATAAACCATTGCATTTATGATATTGTAAATGAGGTACTAATTGAAAAAGGCATCTGCCAGATAAGGCATGTGTATAAGTGGCAGGCCCCACACATGATCCTTTAAAAATGGTAAACCAAAAATTTAGGCATTGTCTAATTTATGATAGTTACATTCAAAAATGATTATCATTCATTTATGTCCTCAAAAGAAAATACTACACTTTTACTATGCATTCATCACCTAGAAGATCTTAAAGTATTTGTTTATATTGATTTATATTTCCAAGCAGTATTTTTTACCATCTGAAAACAAATATTTCAATGTTTCTTCTGTTTTTTAACACAGAAAAATTTTTCTTCCACCCAGGTGTATAAGCAAAAGTACTTGACTTTAATATAGCAAATATGCAGAGGTAGAAAAAAATAATTTTATTAAGTGCTCATCATTATTCATAAAATACACAGCAAATGTGACAAAATCATAACAATTTATATAATACTGGAATAGTCTATAAAATATGGTTGTCCTTTGGTTTAAATGATACAATTTTGAGATTAAACGTGTTTTAACAAGCATTTTTTTTTAAACTAGTAGACCATGGGGATAAAAAACCTAGAATGGTCATGAAGAAACTAATAGAAGCCAAAATAAGCAAGACACAAAGTATGCCTTATTTAATTAAAGTTCAGATGAACTAATGTACACATACTACAAATTTAAGCTGTCCCTAGGCATTACTAACCTATATAACCAAAGCTTACATAGTTGATTTTTGTTGGGAAATCTAGCATTACCACAGTTTGTAGTCAATATTCAATGAGTTTTCTGACTTTTGCTCCTTTTTCTTCTAGGTCAGAGAGTCAAGTTACTAGTCAAATAATCGCCTAAAAATTAATTTACAAATGGTAATTACACTTAATCTTTAAAGGAAAAAAACCAACACTGAAAGTAACAGGTAGGTGGTTTTTAAAACTTAAATATATGTGACCTCAATAAAAGAATTCCCATTTTAATTAATTTGCTAAGAGTTAATTACCTAACCTGTATTTATGTCCCAAGCTAAAATGTATGTGATAAAAAAGATGATAGATAGAAGATAGATGATAGATAGATAGATGATAGATAGATAGATAGATAAGCAACATACAATACAGGTTATTTCTGTTATATTGTTAATAATCACATACATATGCATATATAACATATACACACAGAAATCTTAAACAGAAATTTTGATGGCATTCTTAGAACATCATAAAATGCCTATTTATTTAGTGCCCCTTCTATTTTTGACTTAGACTAAATTTGACTTTTGAATTGTGATTCAGACTTCTTCCTACTTACCATAAAAGAAAGAAAAGACTTATCCATATTCACCAGAATAGAGAAACACATTAAAATGGGAGGAAGTAAAACTGACTACACTTGTTTAAAGAGGAAGCAAAAGCTAGTAGATCTTTCAGGTTGGGCCAATATAAAGTATGCTTTGCAAGAATATAGTAAACAAATATCTTCTTTGAAATGGGTTTACGTTTCCACTCACTCCACACTCAAACATCACAATATTTGTAAGGAACATTTTCATGGGTAGAAAATGAATACAAAATTAATTTAAAATCCAGATTTTATTTGAAAATTAAATATATTTCATTTAGAACTAAGTTACGTAACAAAGAAATTGTGAAGGACCCTTTCAGTTACTTTGTTCTTGCAATAATACAGATACAATAAATTGCCTAAGTGACAGCTGTTCTATTGGGAAGTTAAAGGCAAAGGTGGAAGAATGTTTCCTTCAGCATCTTCATCCATGGTCTCTAAATTAATTTAGCAATTCTTCTATTAAATAGAACCAATTATAAAACCTAGAGTAAGCTCTCCATCTCTGTTAGTTATTGGGTTAGTTTGCTAAGGTTGCCATAACAAAATACCAAAAACTGCATCACTTAGATTAAGGCCCATATCACCATTCCCATTTTAATGTAATCACCTCTGTAAAAGCCTTATCTCCAAAACAGCTTCATTCTGAGGTACTGTGGGTTAGGATTTCAACATATGAAGTTGGAGGGGATACAATTTAGCCTATAACAGTTATTATTAGTGTCATCATGTTCATTACATTAATTCATTTAAAAATATTGTTTTACTTAATCTTCATAGCTACACTAAAAGGTATGTATTTTTTTTATCTCCATTTAACAAAAGATTCTAAGACCTCAAGTATCTCCATCAAGCTTCTTAAACAAGAAGTGATGAAACAAGAATGCCTTCTGTGAAATTAAGTTTCTTCTGGAAAGTGTGTAACCAAGAAAACTTCCAATGTGGACATTTTTCCATATCATCACTCTTCCCAACCTGCTGCTAGGAAAGTCCAGCTTGTAGCTTAAGAACATGCTCCCTTTAGACAGGCACAGCAGCCACACACAAATTAACACTAAAAATTGTTGGCCCAGCAAAAGCTCTCCAATTCTTATTTGCAAACTCTTTCTCACTGGTCAGGATTCAAAGCTTCAATCCCAAAGAGTTGATGAGCATTTATTCTTCATCACAAGTCTTCTTGCTTCAGAGTTTCAGCTTTAATATTTGGAAATGAAAAGCCAGTGTCTTGAAAATGGCCCAAAGGGCATATCTAAATACGTGAAACTGAAACACTCATACTTGCTTGGGAGCGTAGTATGGTTACCATGGCAGCAGCTTTGGGGACAGACAGCAGACAGCAGCAGCTGCAGATTCTTTTAGCCGTATTACATATATTATATATATGTAATATATATGATTATATACATATAATATACCAAGTATTCAAATAGTCTGTGCCACAAAACAACATTTCCACCAATGATAGACCACATGTACAATGGTGGTCCCATAAGATTATACCACATTTTTACTGTACCTTTTCTATATTTAAATATGTTTAGATACAAAAATACTTGCTGTTGTGTTACAATTGCCTACAGTGCTCAGTACAGTTACATGCTGTGCAGGATTGTAGCCTAGGAGCAATAGGCTATACCATATAACCTAGGTGTGTAGCAGGCTATACCATCTAGGTTTATGTAAGGACACTCTATGATGTTCACACAATGACAAAATCACCTAAAGATGCATTTCTCAGAATGTACTCCCATCATTAAGTGACTATATACTATATACTATAAGCTATTCAACTGAGCCCAACAAACATACTCTGGAACCCTCCTCTGTGGATTCTACGTTTGGGAAGTTCGTTATTTCACTAAGACTAAGCTCTTATCAGAAGTTCCAGTACTTTCTTCAGTCCATAGAGATCTCTCTGCAGGCCTCCACATCACATTATTCTATCAGACCACACAGATGTCTTTATTCTTGTTTTTCTTTCACTCCTTATTTCATTCCTTTCTCTTTTCTCTAAGGAATAAAGTAACTGAAAAAAAAAGTGCTTTCCAACACAATGTCCGGCAAAAATCTAATGAGTTATTTTATTCTGATTTAGAAGCATTTAGATGTAACAAAGAAAAATTGTTAGGGAAATAATACTGAAAGCTATGACTAAAATGGTATATTTTATCCTCTATAATTTTCACTTGTTTACGTTCATAGTTAGGAATAAAGATATGCTGTAAAAATCTCTAGTGATTTAAGCTGGCAGGATATATTTGCTTACTCTGTCACATTATATTTTCCAAATTCAAAACTGTTAAATAATTTTATTGTTCTCTTACTCCTAAATGCCACATAATGGAGTAATATTTTGAATTAATTCTTCTTGCTAGTTTATACAGATTATATATAATATATATTTATATATATATAAATATATGTTTTTTCTATATTTTTCCAAATGGGTGACATTTTAACAGGTGATATCATTTCCTTTTAAACAATATAATGACAACAACCACTGATTTAAAAAAAAATTCCATTTCAAAAAGAAAATTTGCTGTACTACGTAAAAATAACTTAGGATATTTATGTCCTCTTTACTCATTCCATTATTCCACCCTTTTATAAATCATACTATTTTATTCTCCTATAAAAAGAGAGAAATATTGCAGCCTTCGGTGACTTTCTGAATATGCCATGCATCACTGATGTGAGTGGTCCCTATGGCCTTTTCAAAATAGACTTCCTGTGAACCAGTTCAGTTTTTGTGCCTCCACCCTAGTTGCTATGATATGGCAGTTCTCAGGCTAAGAAGTGTCACAATGCCTTTCAAAACAAATTGATTTTAAATAGTTTAATTGCCAGTTGGAAAGGAAAAGTACATGAGATATACATGGGTTGGGTTTTGTTAGGTTATAAGATAAGTTTTCTTTATACAAGAAAATACTTAACAAAGCAACCAGTTAATTTGTAACAGAATTTTATTGGTAAGTCTACGAAATGGCAGATGTCCTTTTTCTATTTATGTGTTAAGTTCAGTGCTGGCATTAAACTCAATAACATGCAGAGACACAAACTTTGAGAAGGTTAGTTTCAATACAAAAACCTATATGCTGACCTTTTAAAAATTTTATGTTGGTCAGAACATAGGAAGTTGGGAATAAATTCTTAAATATTGTGCAATCAACCTATTGGTAACACATTCTCATGATTTCTGCCAGTTGGCACAAGCATAGGAACTTTACTCGCAAAGTATAAGTTTAATAAACTTATTATTTTTTAAAATGAAGTGGTTGGAATTTGAAAGAACAATTAGTATATAAACTTTTACTAAGTAGAAGTAACTGGGCTGATCCTGAGTATAAAACAAGGCCTAAAAAAAAGGCTGTGCCTTTCCAAAGTTTACAAGATACTTTTAAAAAAATACTTAAACACAAAATATACCAACTCAAGAAACTAGTCACCAAATCCTATGATTATGAGAAACAGGATATTCAATGGATGAACAAACATTCTCTCACAGTCTTTAATGACTCTTAAGACATGTTTTCTCTAAGAGGTTATCTTACATATGTAAAATAACCTTCACCTGCAAGGCCAATTGTTTTTTCATAAATCTTTAAAAGGACTGCATCCTGAGCTTGTCAGATTTTTGGGACTCTAAAAAAAATTATTGGCTCAAAACTATGAAAATAAAATTATAAATTAAAATTATTAACTGATTAATAAAGTGTTTTCAAAATAGTATATTATACCAACTATTCAACTACATTGAAACACAGTTTATCCAATTACATATAAATGATGTTGAATGTGGGATGTGGGACCATCTTAATATATTTGACATAACACAGTCAAACCTCTAAGACAGTCTAGATTCCATGAAGGCTTTTGAATGGTCATGTTCCAACCAAAGCAGTCACATGACACTGCTAAGCATTTTGAGGAAACAACATTTTTAAACAAGAAATCAATTTTTAGTTCTATCAAATGATATTGTTAAACATTTCAGGTAAACAACACTCAAACCAGAAATTAATCTTTAGTTCGGTCTAGTACTTACATAATTAGATAGCAGAATCAAAAACATATGAATAATTCTACAAAACTCAAAGGAAATAGAATGTCTTTACTAAAATAAAAAAAAGAAAGAATACAAAAGATATAATAGTCCTCTGATCTGAACTATGTAGTAAAATTTTAGTAAAGGTAACACCCAAATCACTGCAGTGACATTCTAATTGTTCCTTTTTCAATCATTTCCTCCACTACTGCTAACTTTGTTGGCAGATGAATTTTCTCTCTGAAAAAATTGTCATTCTTGCTTCCAAGTCTCAGTTCATGTTTCCCTCACAGGTAAACTCTTTGCCTTTCTCTTCCCAGATCCAAATCTACCTATCTCTTCAAACCTTGCATTGAGAGAAAAACATTTTATGTGAATTAACAAAGATGTGATGTCTTATTGTTACTGGTCATGAAAGACAAATCTATTTCTTTACATTTTTTTCTTCAAATTTAAGAAGAATTTTAACTGCCTTAGTCTTTTTATCTGTTTCTTTATATCCACAGAATGGGAGCTAAATGGGGAGAACTGCAATATCACCTCAGACACCATGGCCCAGAACCATCTGTGCTCATGCAAGACCCATAATTGTGTGCTCCCCATTGCCTATCCCTATCCCATGAATCCAAGAGGGCTGCCTCAACAGTAACCTGGAGTTGGGCTATACACACTGTTACTGGTGAATGATCCTCCTTTGCTGGGCTCTGATCTCTCCTGCCCGGGTTCTGCCTTGGTTCTTGATCAGGGGTTCTGGGACATTCTCACTAAGTTCTGGATTCGTTCCCTCTATGGCCTATGCTTCAACACTACTGACAATTTGGTTATTGCTCTCTTTATGGTTCTGATCTTCACTTTTTATGCTTTCCCGCTTTAATGCCTTCTCCATCACTCTGAATTGCTCATTCATGGCCTCATTCACCATTTTCCTTTCTTCTTATATTATTTTTTAACTCTCAACTTCTGAACTCTTCTCTAATCTTACTTAACCAATCTTGTTCTCCTGGTTGAAGTTATACATCCTACATTATAACATTTATTATTGTTTTTAAAACAATTTTATTTTTCCACAGGTTTATTAAGGTATAATTGACAAAAATTATATATATTTACAGTGTACAGCTTGATGTTTTGATAAGTGTATACATTGTGAGACATCGTGGTCATTGTATACATTGCGACACACTATATACCTTGTGAAACATGCTAATTGATTTTTTAAATAATGGTTATCCTGAGTAACAATATTTTGATAGATTTTTTCCATATGATTTACTCTAATCTGGCAGCACTTTACAAAGCAGTTTATCATTTTTTCCTCATTACTATAAGAAAAGTGAGACTCAGCAAACTTAGATCTTGGTCTCTCTGACTTCAAGTCTACTTTCTGGCCATTACAATAGTAGCTCCCAAATTAGAGAGATTCCAAAAATAAGATTCCCAGGACATATCTTGGAACTTCTGATTCTAAAGTTTGCAGGGGCCACTCCAAGTGATTCTAACAGTGATGCAGGTTTGGGGACCGATGTACTGCACATATTGCCACTACCCTACTGTAACCTCCAGTATGATGCAACCCACCTTTGAAATTAAACCAGAATCATTTTTAAAACCACAGTGTGTTCTTACAGATTCATGAGACATATTTTGTTCATAGGCGTTTCACATACTAGTCTGCTCATATGAAGAATATATTATATAATGTAGATTATTTGCTAGACTCATTCTTTCTCCTGCTCTGTCTTCTTACCCAGACCCATTTGAATGGCAGTTAGTTAACACCAGCAGTTCAGTTGAAGTCTTGGAATGAGAATTTTTCTCTGTAGGCCTCGCAGGCCTACATAAGGAACAAAACCCTGTCCATGAGGTCATAATCATATAGCCATCTCTAAGTTGCATTGTGTATTGGGAAGAAATAAGAATGAAATACCAGCCTGGTCTTCTAAAATAATTAGCACTGAAAAGTGTATGCAATTGTATTGCTTATATAACGAGATCAAATTTTAACCTAAGTATTCTAAATAAATATTTCTCTTGGAATATAGCCATGAATATTTTTCATGACTTGAGGATATACTTTATTATATTGCTATACTCCAACAAAAATGAGACAAAATTCCATTATTTCCTCTCAGACCTTCTAGGTTTGCAACCTAAAGCCACATATTTTAAAAATGCAAAATGAGATACATAGAATACTTATATATATATATATTTTTTCTTTTGCTGCTTGTGCTTTCCACATCAAATGTATATCAAAACACTCAAGAGCTTTAGAACAGTGAGGAAATCTTCAGACTGATGGATTTACAAAATAAGAACAAAGCATCTAGACCACTATTTACCAAACATGGTAGTGACCATAATTTTTCCACATTTATACAGGCAAGGAAATGAGGTATGGAGATATCCAGCAATCTTCTAAATCAATTAAGGATTCACCACAAGATACAGAGAGAAAATCCAGGATTTATGACTGAAGACTGTTTATTGGACTCAGTAGTACCTCATGATGCTGTCATTAATGTTTCTACAATGCTTTCTCATGGATACAGAATCCTCTTAGTCAACACTATCAATTGTGTTTGTCCTGTAAGTCAATAAAATAATTTTAAAAGATTTTTTTTAAGAGATGGGGTTTCGCCATATTGCCTAGGCTGGTCTCAAGAAATCTGCCTGCCTTGGCCTCCCAGTGCTGGGACTAAAGGCGTGAGCCACCATGACTGGCCCAAAAACTGATCTTTTTTTTTTTTTTTTTTTTTTTTTTAATTGAGACGGAGTCTTGCTCTGTCGCCCAGGTTGGAGTGCAGTGGCGCAATCGCGGCTCACTGCAAGCTCCGCCTGCCGGGTTCACGCCATTCTCCTGCCTCAGCCTCTCGGAGTAGCTGGGACTACAGGCGCCCGCCACGACGCCCGGCTAATTTTTTGTATTTTTAGTAGAGACAGGGTTTCACCGTGGTCTCGATCTCCTGACCTCGTGATCTGCCCGCCTTGGCCTCCCATAGTGCTGGGAAAACTGATCTTTTAAGCCCAATATAAAGAAGGCCAAAGGAGGAATGTTGCCTCTGCCTGGCTGTCTCATCTGTGGTAGAGCTAAAAGTAAACAGATCAGGGCCTTGGTTGGTGAAGACTCCACTTTAAAAGTTTCAGTTGAATATAGTTGATTTTGGAATAAGTCCAAAGAAGGAAGAAGGTTCTACTTCTGAGATGGAAGCCCATGAAGGCATTATGCCAGGAAAGATTTTAAAAGCCAGGAAATGAATCAGGATGGTTGTGAATGGAGAAAGTCAAACACATCAATAAATCAGGAGGGCCAGGCAGATGAGAAACCAAAAAACGTAGCCAGCTTTGGCAAATGCTCATTACAAATGAGATTCCAGCCAGATGAGCTGGTGGTTTATTCATTCACTCCATTGTTCTTTTTATCTATGACATAATGGTTCAGTGTAATTTCCATAAAGCAAGACATATCTATTCACTTTAGGTTGTTGTGTTCATTAAATGGAGAAATCATGTTTTCTAAATTCTGACCTATTGTTTGGTATTGCACCTTTCGTGAACTCCAAAAATAATCTAAGAGGAAGATCTTAAGCTTTAGTATAAGTGGCATCTTTTTTCAAGGATGAAAATTTAACATGTAAGCTAGTGTTAAATTCCTGACAAATATTCATCAACAAATGTACTTTCTACTGTACTCAAGACAAGATGGTGTTAGGAGCTAGAGACTGAGCATATTGCTAAATGGCCATGGCCTTGAGATTTAGTAATGTGAATTTAAGGGGAACAAGAAGTTCTCCAGTTCTCTACTCAAATTATTATTGCTCAGAGCAAGCTATTAGATATAAATCTGAGAAACAAAAGAAAGACCAATTAGATAATCTATTTATGCCTTGGAGAACTAAGCAAAATGAGAATGCTTCTAATTTGTTTTGCTTGAATAAACTCCAATCAAAAGATTGCCCTTTTGCATGATAACCATAATAACATAGTAGACAGTTTTATAAATCTCACATTTATAATTTGAAGTTTTGACAAGGCATTTCTAAGTGGCATTTCAGGATTCTTATCAATTATTTTATTGACTGTAAAATTACATTTAGTGACTTGCTTAAGCTTTCTCTGCAAATCAGGATTTAGAATCAAATCCTTGCTTTACTTAATAATACTATTTCTGAACACCATAAAATTTTTCCAATTACAAAAAGCACTATTTTATCTGTTATATGGTACAGCTATGGGCTGTAGTAAAAGCTACAGACTTTTTACCACTTTTCTTGGTCCTGAAGGAAAGGAGACAGAAGATGTCCATGTCTGCTTCATAAAGCATTAGAAAAGGTGATCTTACAGATGGAAAAACATTCCATTGAGATAACTGTAAAATTCAAATCTAATTAAACCCTGGCATTGGGAGGTCTATTATTGCTTCTTCTTATTTAATGTATAATCATTGATAAAGCAATACCTCTAAAATGGGCCTTTGAAAACTAAACTTTTTTTTTTGTTTACTTTTTTTGTAACAAAAAGGTGGGGAAATTTGAAAAGTTCGCTTCTTTGTATGTTTATGTGTATGTTTTGAGTGTGTTTAATTTCCTGCTTGTTTAGCTTTCTTTTATAATTTAATTTTGCTGCTTATGATAATACTGAGTAATATAAAGTACTTAGAAAAGACATATAGATATTTTTAAATTATATACGTAGTCATTAAATCCTCACAACAACCCTATGAGATAATAAATTATTGTCGTTATTTTGTGAATTGAGAAACTGAAGCACAAATATATGTAAATAACTTGTCCTGAACATTCTTATTTTATATTTCAACAGTATCACTGAAATTTGCTGTTCAAATATCACAAACTATTCCTTGAAGGATTTTCATGTAATATAAAAATAACAGGCTGGGGAAATTCGCTTTCCAATTATTGATTTTTAAGTTAAAACATAATTCCTGAATTAATTTATTTGTCTTTCTTGAAGTTAGACAGCCAATGTGTATTTGAGTCTAGGATGGAATTCAAGCTAGGCATTTTTATAGAAATTAACATATGCAAATATGTCATTATTTTAAAAAATTTCCCTGCTATATATAAATAGAAAAGATTTTTGAATGAAGTAAACAGATACATTAACTGTCTTTCTTTTTCTTTCCCTCTAGATATTGATTTTTCTTTTTTCTAAACATAAGTACTTTTTAAAATTATATTTGTTTATAATCATTGATTTTACTTCTGTATTAAATCCAAAGCTGGGGGAGGGGCATGGTGGCAAGATAGCCAAATAGGAACAGCTCCCGTCTGCAGGTCTGCAGCTCCCAGTGAGACCAATGCAGAAGGTGGGTGATGTCTGCATTTCCAACTGAGGTACCCAGTTCATCTCATTGGGACTGGTTAGACAGTGGGTTCAGCCCACAGAGGATGAGCTGAAGCAGGGTGGGGCATCATCTTACCTGGGAAGTGCAAGCAGTCAGGGGAACTCCCTCCTTTAGCCAGGGGAAGCCTTGAGCAACTGTGTCTTGAGGGACTTTGCACTCTGGCCCAGATACTGTGCTTTTCCCACAGTCTTCGCAAACCACAGACCAGGAGATTCCCTCTGGTGCCTACACCACCAGGGCCCCGGGTTTCAAGCACAAAACTGGGCAGCCATTTGGGCAGACAACAAGCTAGCTGCAGCAGTTTTTTTTTTCGTACCCCGATGGTGCCTGGAATGCCAGTGAGACAGAACTGTTCACTCCCTTGGAAAGGGGGCTGAAGCCAGGGAGCTGAGTGGTCTTGCTCAGAGGTTCCCATCCCCACGGAGCCCAGCAAGCTAAAATCCACTGGTGTGAAATTCTCACTGCCAACACAGCAGTCTGAAGTCGACCTGGGATGGGATGCTTGAGCTTGGTGCGGGGAGGGGCATCTGCCATTATTGAAGCTTGAGTAGGTGGCTTTCCTCTCACAGTGTAAACAAAGCCTCAGGGAAGTTCAAACTGGGTGCTGAACCCACTGCGGGCTCGGCAAAGCCGCGGTAACCAGACTGCCTCTCTAGATTCCTCTCCGGGCAGGGCATTTCTGAAAGAAAGGCAGCAGCCCCAGTCAGAGGCTTATAGATCAAACTCCCATCTCCCTGGGACAGAACACTGTGGGGAAGGGACAGGTGTTGGCACAGCTTCATGAGACTTAAAGGTTCCTGCCTGCAGGCTCTGAAGAGAGCAGAGGATCTCCCAGCACAGCGCTTGAGCTCTGCTAAGGGACAGACTGCCTCCTCAACTGGGTCCCTGACCCCCATGCCTCCTGACTGGGAGACACCTCCCAGCAGGGTTCCACAGACACCTCATACAGGAGAGCTCTGGCTAGCATCTGGTGGGTGCCCCTCTGGGACGAAGCTTCCAGTGGAAGGAGCAGGCAGCAATCTTTGCTGTTCTGCAGCCTCGACTGGTGATACTCAGGCAAACAGGGTCTGGAGTGAACCACCAGCAAACTCCAGCAGACCTGCCAAAGAGGGGCCTGACTGTTAGAAGGAAAACCAACAAACAGAAAGCAATAGCATCAACATCAACAAAAAGGACACCCAGGCAAAAACCCCATCTGAAGGTCACCAACACCAAAGATCCAGATAATCTACCAGGATAAATCCAGGAAAATGAGGAAAAACCAATGCAAAAATGCTGAAAATTCCAAAAACCAGAATGCCTTTTCTCTAAAGGATCACCACTCCTCACCAGCAAGGGAACAAAACTGGACAGAGAATGAGTTTGACGAATGGACAGAACTAGGCTTCAAAAGGTCGGTAATAACAAACTCCTCTAAACTAAAGGAGCATGTTCTAACCCAATTCCATGGAAGCTAAGAACCTTGATGGAAGGTTACAGGAACTGCTAACTCAAATAAAGAGTTTAGAGAATAATGTAAATGATCTGATGGAGCTGAAAAACACAGCATGAGAACTTTGGAAAGCATACACAAGTATCAATAGCCAAATTGATCAAGCATATCAGAGGAAGAAAGGATATCAGAGATAGAAGATCAACTTAATGAAATAAAGTGTGAAGACAGTTAGAGAAAGAAGAATTAAAGGGAATGAACAAAGCCTCCAAGAAATATGGGACTATGTGAAAAGACCAAATCTATGTTTGATTGGTGTACCTGAAAGTGATGGGGAGAATGGAACCAAGCTGGAAAACAAACTTAAGGATGTTATGCAGGAGAAATTCCCCAACCTAGCAAGACAGGACAACATTCAAATTCAGGAAATACGGAGAACCCCACAAAGATACTCCTCGAGAAGAGCAACCCCAAGACACACCATTGTCAGATTCACCAAGGGTGAAATGAAGGAAAAAACATTAAGGGCAGCCAGAGAGAAAGGTTGGGTTACCCACAAAGGGAAACTCATCAGACTAACAGTGGATCTCATTGCAGAAACCCTACAAGCCAGAAGACAGTGGGAGCCAATATTCAACATTTTTAAAGAAAAGAATTTTCAACCCAGAATTTCATATCCAGCCAAACTAAGCTTCATAAGCGGAGGAGAAATAAAATCGTTTACAGCCACGCAAATGCTGAGGGATTTTGTCAACACCAGGCCTGCCTTACAAGAGCTCCTGAAGGAAGCACTAAATATGGAAAGGAAAAACCGGTACCAGCCACTGCAAAAACACAAACATGTAAAGACCATCAACATTATGAAGAAACTCTATCAACTAATGTGCAAAATAACAAGCTAGCATCAAAATGACAAGATCAAATTCACACATAACAATGTTAACCTTAAATATAAATGGGCTAAAATGCCCCAATTAAAAGACACAGACTGGCAAATTGGATAAAGAGTAAAGACACATTGGTGTGCTGTATTCCCGAGACCCATCTCATGTGCAAAGACACACATAGGCTCAAAATAAAGGGATGGAGGAATATTCATCAGGCAAATGGAAAGCAAAAACAAGCAAGGTTTACAATCCTAGTCTCTGATAAAACAGACTTTAAACCAACAAAGATCAAAAAAGACAAAGAAGTGCATTACATAATGGTAAAGGGATCAATGCAGCAAGAAGAGCTAACTATCATAAATATATATGCACCCAATACAGGAGCACCCAGATTTATAAAGCAAGTCTTTAGAGGCCTACAAAGAGACTTAGACTCCCACACAATAATAGTGACAGACTTTAATAAACCACTGTCAATATTAGACAGATCAATGAGAGAAAATTTACAAGGCTATTCAGGATTTGAACTCAGCTCTGAACCAAATGGACCTAATAGACATCTACAGAACTCTCCACCCCAAATCAACAGAATATACATTCTTCCCAGCACCACATAGCACTTATTCTAAAATTGACCATATAATTGGAAGTAAAACACTCCTCAGCAAATGCAAAACAACAGAAATCATAACAAACAGTCTCTTATACCACAGTGCAATCAAATTAGAACTCAGGATTAAGAAATTCACTCAAAACCACACAACTACATGGAAACTGAACAACCTGCTCCTGAATGACTACTGGGTAAATAATGAAATTAAGGCAAAAATAAATAAGTTCTTTGAAACCAATGAGAACAAAGACACAATGTACCAGAATCTCTGGGACACATTTAAAGCAGTATTTAGAGTGAAATTTATAGCACTAAATGCCCACAGGAGAAAGCCGAAAAGATCTAAAATTGACACACTAACATCACAATTAAAAGAACTAGAAAAGCAAGGGCAAACAAATTCAAAAACTAGCAGAAGACAAGAAATAACTAAGATCAGAGCAGAACTGAAGAGGATAGACACATGAAAAACCCTTAAAAAAATCAATGAATCCAGGAGCCAGTTTTTTGAAAAGATTAACAAAATAGACAGACCACTAGCCAGACTAATAAAGAAGAAAAGAGAGAAGAATCAAATAGACACAATAAAAAATGATAAAGAAAATATCACCACTGATCCCACAGAAATACAAACTACCATCAGAGAATACTATAAACACCTCTACACAAATAAAGTAGAAAATCTAGAAGAAATGGATAAATTCCTGGACACATAAACCCTCCCAAGACTAAACCAGGAAGAAGTCGAATCCCTGAATAGACCAATTACAAGTTCTGAAATTGAGGCAGTAATTAATAGCCTACCAACCAAAAAAAGCCCAGGACCAGACAGATTCACAGCCGAATTCTATCGGAGGTACAAAGAGGAGCAGGTACCACTCCTTCTGAAACTATTCTAAACAGTAGAAAAAGAGAGACTCCTCCCTAACTCGTTTTATGAGGCCAGCATCATCCTGATACCAAAACCTGGCAGAGACACAACTAAAAAAGAAAATTTCAGGCCAATATCCCTGATGAACATCGATGCAAAAATCCTCAGTAAAATACTGGCAAACCAAATCCATTGGCACATTAAAAAGCTTATCCACCAAAATCAAGTCAGCTTCATCCCTGGGATGTAAGGCCAGTTGACACGCCAACCAATAAATGCAATCTATCACATAAACAGAACCAATGACAAAAACCACATCATTATCTCACTAGATGCAAAAAAGGCCTTCGATAAAATTCAACAGCCCTTCATGCTAAAAACACTCAATAAACTAGGTATTGATGGAACATATCTTAAAATGATAAGAGCTATTTATGACAAACCCATAGCCAATAGCATACTGAATGGGCAAAAGCTGGAAGCATTCCTTTTGAAAACTGGCACAAGACAAAACCCTCACCACTCCTATTCAATATAGTATTGGAAGTTCTAGCCAGAGCAAGCAGGCAAGAGAAAAACATAAAGGGTATTCACATAGGAAGAAAGGAAGTCAAATTGTCTCTGTTTGCAGATGACATGATTGTATATTTAGAAAACTCCATCATCTCAGCCCAAAAATTCTTTAAGCTGATAAGCAACTTAAGCAAAGTCTCAGTATACAAAATCAATGCAGAAAAATCACAAGCATTCCTATACACTAATAATAGACAGAGAACCAAATCATGAGTGAACTCCCATTTACAATTGCTACAAAGGAATAAAATACCTAGGAATTCAACTTACAAGGGATGTGAAGGGGTTCTTCAAGGAGAACTACAAACCACTGCTCAGGGAAATATGAGAGGACACAAGAAAATGAAAAAAATACCATGCTTATGGATAGAAAGAATCAATAGCGTGAAAATGGCCATACAGCCCAAAGTAATTTATAGATTCAATGCTATTACCATCAAACTACCATTGACTTTCTTCACAGAATTAAAAAAATACTTTAAATTTCATATGGAACCAAAAAAGAGCCCATATAGCTAAGGCAATCCTAAGAAAAAAAAAAAAAAAAAAAAGCTGGAGGCATCATGCTACCCGACTTCAAACTATACTACAAGTTTACAGTAATCAAAACAGCATGGTACTGGTATCAAAACAGATATATGGCCCAATAGAACAGAACCGAGGCCTCAGAAATAATCCCACACATCTATAATCATCTGATCTTTGACAAACCTGACAAAAACAAGCAATGGGGAAAGGATTTCCTATTTAATAAATGGTGTTGGGAAAACTGGCTACCCATATGCAGAAAACTGAAACTGGACCCCTTCCTTACACCTTATACAAAAATTAACTCAAGATAAATTAAAGACTTAAATGTAAGACCTAAAACCCTAAAAACCCTGAAGAAAACCTAGGCAATACCATGCAGGACATAGGCATGGGCAAAGACTTCATGACTAAAACACCAAAAGCAATTACAACAGAAGCCACAATGAATAGATGGGATCTAATCAAACTAAAGAGCTTCTGCACAGCAAAAGAAACTATCATCAGAGTGAACAGGCACCCTACAGAATGGGAGAAAATTTTTTCAATCTATCTATCTGACAAAGGGCTAATATCCAGAATCTACAAGGAACTTAAACAAATTTTAAGAAAAAAAATCCCATTAAAAAGTGGGCAAAGTATATGAACAGACACTTCTCAAAAGAAGACATTCATGTGGCCAAAAAACATATGAAAAAAAGCTTATCATCACTGGTCATTAGAGAAATGCAAATCAAAACCACTATGAGATACCATCTCACGCCAGTTAGAATGACGATCATTAAAAAGTCAGGAAACAACAGATGCTGGAGAGGATGTGGAGGAATAGGAATGCTTTTACACTGTTGGTGGGAGTGTAAACTAGTTCAACCATTGTGGAAGACAGTGTGGTAATTTCTCAAGGATCTAGAACTAGAAATACTATTTGACCCAGCCATCCCATTACTGGGTATATACCCAAAGGATTATAAATCATTCTACTATAAAGACATGCGCATGTATGTTTATTACAGCACCATTTACAATAGCAAAGACTTGGAACCAACACAAATGCCCATCAACGATAAACTGCATAAAGAAAATGTGGCACATAAACACCATGGAATACCATGAAGCCATAAAAAAAAAAAAATGAGTTCATGTCCTTTGCAGGGACATGGATGAAGCTGGAAACCATCATTCTCAGCAAACTAACACAGGAACAGAAAACCAAACACCACATGTTCTCACTTGTAAGTGGGAATTGAACAATGAGAACATATGGACACAGGGAGGGGGACATCACACACTGGGTCCTCATGGGGGGTGTGGGGCAAGGGGAGGGATAGCATTAGGAGAAATACCTAATGTAGATGACGAGCTGATGGGTGCAGCAAACCACCATGGCACATATATACCTATGTAACAAACGTGGACGTTCTGCTCATGTATCCCAGATCTTAAAGTATAATTTAAAAAAAAAAGAGAAACAAAAATTGAATCAACAGAACATAAAGTAAGAGAGGCGCAAAGCATGGTCAAAAGGTATAAATCTGTTTAGTTGGAGTCCTGAAAGGAAAGGAGAGAATAGGGCAGAAGCAATATTTAAGGAAAAATAGCCTATTCCACAACTTTTTCTCTTTATTTCTGAATTCAATATTCTGTCCTTCAATGACAATTTTTGCCTCAAGTGTGATATCTGGTATCTGGTAAACATTCTCTTCTATTTTTGAATGGCTGCTGTGTGTATTGAGTAAATGGAAGAGCTGAGCTTGAAGGACAAGTCTTGCTGATGCCGGAGTTTAAGGATTGCCCTTTCTCCTGTACCATGCTGCATCCTTCTCACCCTCTAGCCCCTGCTCCAATGCTATATTCTCTCTCAGCGACATTCTTTTCATCTATGCAAATAGAAAGGCATCTTTTCATTTGCCACATTCCTTTCTTTTCTCTCAGGGATCACTGTCCTGTGCTGCTTCATGTTCAATATCTGAAAACCAGTGTTTTACATACTTTGTTTTTCTAATTGTTGCTTAAAAGGATAAATCTTGTCCCTATTGTTTTATCCTGGTGGGAACTGTTCAAGTCCATGTACATAATTTTTGTAACTACAAATGGTTGTTTATACTTTGTAAGGACTTCTTACAAATGGGGTATTTCACATAAAGTCAGTTCATGTAAAAAAAATCCAAAAGATATTGAACTGGTACCTGCGAATAATTGTATAAGGCAATTTCTTGTTAAAGTGATCATGCTTAATAAGTATTACACAATCAGATAAGGTCTGGGCAAGCCTTTCACTTGTCAGACTTAAAAGAACATAGTCCTACTCAGGATGTTAGTGAAGGCACACATCTACACTCAGGTGTGGGATGGCAACCATGCAAATTTCCTGAAAGAGGGCTTTAGATCATTCTTTGCCGGTGCTTCAGTGTTTTCTGGCAGTCTTTTCTATTTGCCTCTTCTACAGGGAACAGCAGAATTCCATGCATCTCACTCATAACTTTCAAGGTAGGTCTGCTTACCATTTGCAAAAAGAAAAAAAAAAAAGTAATTTTTTAAAAGCTACTGCCAAGAGTTTTAGAACATTTACTTAGAGCCAACTGTGAATCACAGGAAGTCATTTTGTGGCCAAAGTCTGACTCTAACAATCTAACTAGGTTAGTAGGTCATTGAAATTTTTTTCCTTTACTTGAAGCTGATCTTTTTGGTGGAAGGGCAGTGGGGGGGAGAATGCCATAATCAAATGTCAACAGGATTCATTTTTAATAATTAGCTAGGAAAGACTGACAGTCTATGAATTACATTTTAGAGTCTAAAAAGAAGCCCCCATTTTGCCCATCTCTTTCGAGGTATGCTGCCAATGGTAGTGTGACTTAGGGCTCTTTTTCTAGCTCCTGTCTTCCGGTAACTTGCTATCTTCACTGAACCAACTCACAACATAGGTAAATGTATAGTCTCTACTTTTATTTTACCATGACAATGGTGAAAATTCCTGAATTTTCCCCTCAGTGCTTCTATATTCATCTGCATGTTTTAGCACTGAGATGCATGTTCTTAGTTTTTCTATTTACACAATTCAATTTTGAACAATTGATTTTTTATTACTTCAATTATTATTCATTTCCAATTTTTAAATGTGAAGTTAAAATTCTTTTGTTTCTTTCATTTTTATTAAAAGATAAAAGTGCCTAGAAGAGAGGAAAAGGCAGCAAAATGCGTTAGAAGTCGTAGCGGACAAGAGGGTAAGGGACCTGAGTCTAAAGCCCCTCATTCATTCAGATATTCCATAAGAGTTTCTATATCTCAAATTCTTTGCCAGATACTGGAAATACTATTGCGCACAATACTGTCATCATTCCTGCTCTCATAACACTAACAGTCTGATGGGGAAGGCAGGAGGTAATCACATAAATCACAAAATAAAAATGTAACTAAAAAATGTGATAAGGGCATTATAATGCAGAAGAACTTGAGAGAGGTTAAAGAATGCTTCCTGGAGGAAGTGATATCTAACCAGAGATATAAGATATAAGGTGGAGAAGGGAGCAGGGAGCAGGGAAGACTGGTCCAGGCAGAGGGAAGAGTTTAAGGAAAGGCCCTGAGCCAGCAGAGTGGTTTAAAGTAAGAATGAGAGTGGTTTAAAGTAGTGTGTCCAGAATTGGTGGGTTCTTGGTCTCACTGACTCAAAGAATGAAGCCGCGGACCCTTGCGGTGAGTGTTACAATTCTTAAGGCCGGCGTGTCCGGAGTTTGTTCCTTCTGATGTTCGGATGTGTTTGGAGTTTCTTCCTTCTGGTGGGTTCGTGGTCTCGCTGGCTCAGGAGTGAAGCTGCAGACCTTCGCGGTGAGTGTTACAGCTCTTAAGGCTGCGCGTCTGGAGTTGTTCGTACCTCCGGGTCGGTTTGTGGTCTCACTGGCTTCCGGAGTGAAGCTGCAGACCTTCGCAGTGAGTGTTACAGCTCCTAAAGGCAGTGTGGGCCCAAAGAGTGAGCAGTAGCAAGATTTATTGCAAAGAGCGAAAGAACAAAGCTTCCACAGTGTGGCTGTCACCTCTCAGTAGGTAAGGGGAATAGAGGTTCCAGACAGGACAGGAGAAGTCAGATCTTGCAGGACCTAATAGGACTTCTTAGCGATTTTGGTCATAAAGCTAGCAGCATTTCAAAGGAATTGAATTGATGTGATTAGATTTTCATTTTGAAAGAATTCTTCTGCCCACTCTGTGGAGAATAAATTAGAAAGGTGTAAGAGTAGAAGTAGCAAAGAGACTTTGCAGGGTTTCAGAATGTAGCCTGTGGTCCTTTAGGATTTCATGATGGATTATATATGTAGTGAATGAGAGTGTCAGCAGAGACCTGCATCTTGCCATTAACTGAAATGAGGAACATCTTTGTAAGGGAATATCATGGGTTTGGGTTTAGACTATTAACACTTTAAATATCTTTGAATGATATCTTTGAAACTGAGGCTTTCAGGGATTCACTTTCTGTATCTATAAAATGAGAAAGTAAGTAAATCACCTCTAAGATACTTCTTTTTGCTATCTACTTTGACTTTATTCTGTCTCCTTTAATTCTTATCCATAGAAGAAACTGAGATACATTGCCTGATTATAACCAGAAAATTTTAGAATTGGAAAAGAAGGGACTTTATGCTAATCTTGACCAAGTATATTTTCAAAGTTAGAAGAAAAGATGTTCGGGGTCCAAACTGTCAACTATAGTTTATTGTTCTTGTCTCTAAACTGAATACGACATTAAATTCCCTATCTGATTTATTTGCCACCTGTTCTCAATCGTTACAGGTCTCTTTTTCAAAGGAAGTGTGGGTATGTTAGTTTGCTCTCACACTGCTAATAAAGACACACCTGAGACTGGGTAATTTATAAAGGAAACAGATTTAGTTGACTAACAATTTCACATGGCTGGGGAAACCTCACAATCATGGCAGAAGGCAAATGAGAAAAGATACGTCTTACATGGTGGAAGGCAAGAGAGCTGTTCAAGGGAACCCCCATTTATAAAACCATCAGACCTCATTAGACTTGCTCACTACCACAAGAAAAGTATGGGGGAAACTGCCCCCATGATTCAACTACCTCCACCTGCCCCATCATTGACATGTGGGGATTATTACAATTCAAGGTGAGATTTGGTTGGGGACACAGCCAAACCCTATCAGTGGGAGAACCCCAGTTATACCAAAGAATTTTTAAAAGAAAATGCCTTTAAAAAATAGTTAAAAGGTAGTAAATACACAAAAATAAAAGATCGATAAATAAATTTTCAGGTCAAGTCTACAAATGCATTCATTAATGGTGCATATATCTCAGAACATCTAAATCATAATTAGCTCAAGAAAATACTGCATTTGCAGTGATAATACAGGATTCTTCCTGAAAATAGTGGCAATTGCAGCTACCTACATGGGAATGCTGAAAGTAGGAATTCAGCTATTGTAGCAGGCAGCCTCTAAGATGGCCCCTAATGATCCTACCTCTTCTCATTTACACAGTTCAATGAGGGCTATACTTACTGACTCTCTTCTAACAAACAGAATATGGCAGAAGTGATGGAATGTCATTCCAGTATGCAGTCTTAAAATCTCAAGGGAACAGCAAAAAATTTACCCATGCTCCAATCTCTCCCAAATTCCACCTCAGGCAAGTCTTCAAACAACATTAAAAAATCAAAAGACCTTAATTTCTTGAGAGACCTTGACCTACAGGCAACCAGCCAAGACATGCTGGGATTTTGTACTCAGAAACTGTGACAGAATACATGTTTATTGTTTTGAAACACTAAGTTTTAGAGTAATTTGTTATGCAGCAATGGATAACTAGTAAAGCTACGGGAAATATTCACCAGACTTCATTATAAAACACTAAATTAGATTCTTCATGTAGTAGAACCATGCCAGTTTGGTTCATGAAAAACAAAATTTTATTACTCTTAGTAACTCATTTTGCTGTACTAAATCATCCTTCGTTGTATTAAACCATGAGTCTGTAGAATTCCCAAGCCATTTTTCCATAAGAAATAAAGAGAGGATGTGAATTTCTGAATCAGTTCTTGATTGCTTGGCTGACAATGACTGCCTACCAGTCATAAACTTTACTTAACACAAGAAATAACCAAAAACAAACACTGATCTATATCATCTGTGCTTCCTTTAAAATAAATGCAAAGTGGAGAATCTTGGGCTGTGGAGATCAGTATCTTCTGATGGGATTATCACTTTTAGTTGGAGATTGAGTACAGTTTAGGAAGAACCAAATTAGTGTGTTTCCCCAGAGAGCAAGATAATATCAAATGGAAATGAAGGAAGAAGGCCACACTTCCACTTAGGATGTACAAATATAGAAAAAGGGCATCACTCTCAATATAACAGTGAGAAAAAACTGGATAATCTATTATGTAAAATAGTCACTTTAATTGAGAGCTTACATCTCAAGGCAATCAGGTGAACTCCATTCCAAAGTGTGCCAAGCTACTCAGGAGAAATAGGACACATGAACTGTTTACCTTTGGCAGAGTACAGGAGGAAGAAGTGACAGTCACAAAAGCAGTTAAGAAAAACTCTGCAAAAATTGTTATAAACTGACAGTTGGCTAGCATGAGCATTTAGAATCTCTGGGAGCCCCAAACACAAGGGGAGCCCCTATCCATTCATTAGCTCCACAAACCTCCTCTAGGTGCTCAGAAGGAAGATTGGGGACAGGGCAGGAGACCTGAGAGACCCCTTCCTTGGTAGCGAAGTTTTAGTACCTGCCAAAGTCTGAGGGAAGAACAGGAATACCTAGAGAAGCCCATCCAAACTTCAGGTTCTGCTGCTGGGAGACAGAAACAAAACCCACCTATGCTCCAAACTTTTCTCAGATATGAAGCAAAAATACCAGAAGAGCAAGAAATCCACTCATGCCCAGGATCTGACCATACTTTGACATGAGGCCAAAGGTGTTTGCTACAGTTATATGGGCATTCACACCTCTCTTCTTTAAAATCTGTTCTTACCAGATTTGCATTCCTTTCATGTTATTGAAGTTTTCATTCTGTTTTTTTTTTTTTTGTTTTACTTCCTCCATTAACTCCAGCAACTCTCCGATCTCTAGAGCTGTGCGATGTGTGAAGAAGTGCTCCTTAAGCCCTTTTGCCTTCTCAAATGTTCTCTGAGGTCTGTTTATGATGCTGATGTTCACCTTTGGCAGGAAGGAGCACTCTCCCGCCAGCCACCCAAACAGCCTTCCAGCTTCCATCCTCTTTGTTAGGGTTGACATTCCTAATGAAAACCTTTTTTCTTGGGGTTAGCCCTTAGCAACTTGCTTGGTAAGGTGTGCAATAGGAAGCAAATGCATTGTCTTCCACTGAAGCTGATTTGAACAGGGCTTCACTGTAAGCTTCCAGAGGGAGATGGAAACTCTGCCATGTGGGTGGTGGGTTTTATTTTTCCACATGGGCCCCTATTCCTAAAGAGAAAAGAACATCTGCTGTACCAGGAAAATTGCACGTTAACTCTTATAACCACCCTTTGGAAAGGAAAAACAGTCCTCCAAAGCAAGACAACCTCTGATCAGGGAAGGGGGCCTGTGGGCCAAAGTGTAATTGCATTTTGCTACAATATTGCCATAGGTGAAACAGGACTTGGCTAAATGGTCAAAACTCTATTATCCTTTATTCTAGTGGCTGGTGTGACATACTTCTTTAATGTTTGTCGAATAGAAATGGAAGAAAAAAATAATAAATACAAGAGTTATGTTATTTTAGTGTTCTTGTGAAAGGCAACAGCAATCATTTTTCAGCCAGACATTTGGTAGAATTTAGCAGCAAGAAATAGCAACAAGACATTCCCAACCAAGCTTTCATTTCCAAAAGTGGGAGAGTGGGGTTATTCAATGAGGCATTTTTAGAAGCTAAGAAGCAATAAGAAACATGCCAGAACTTTCATATTCGCTGAAGATACTTAGACAATGTAGGAAGGACTCTGTTTCACGCAACATCAATTTCCGTGGTCCCTTTTGATTCAGCTAATATTTATGAAGCACTTGCTATGGAACAAGCATGGTGTTAGGCCCTGGGACTAGAACGGTGAACAAAAACTGACCTAGTCCTTACTCTAGTGTGTGTGCTGGCGGGGGTGAGTAAGGACAGGAACTAATCAAATGCCTACACTATCTTTATAAACTGAAATAAACATTGTGAAGAAAAGAAACATGGAGAAGATAAAGGGCAGAGCTGATGCATGGTCAAATATATGATGTTTTAAAAAACGTAATTGCTGATTATAGAAAATGGATTGGAGGAAAGTCAAATAATTACAGACCTCAGTAAGCAGTAAAATGTTCTGATGTCATTTTGCAAGAGGATTGACTTTTATATTAGGTTAATAAAAATATACATAGAAGGAAACTCTTGCACTTGTCTGAAACTTTGTAAGACAAACTATATTCTACATGGGAAAGCAGTAAATTGGGCAATGTTCATGCAGAGTTTCTCTATGTTCTTAGTGCTTTTGATGTGTTATTATATATTCTTTTCATGCATGTCTTAACTGGAGTAGGGACTGAGTGGGTGGTAGGCAAATACCCTTAGTTAAAACTTGTTCTAATTATTTGCTCCAAAATACAGTTCCCAGTGAGACCAGATTCAACTAGTTGTTTGTTATTTCTGAATCAAAGAATTAGGTCAACAACATGAATCCTTAAAAGAAATCACAATACAATATATACCTCTGTAAAGTAGATCCCTCTAGCTATGTCCTGAAAATAACATTGGTTTATAAAATGCAACTGATAGACATGACGTAGAAATGTTAAAATTAAAATAGTATATGAAAATGTTATGCTTTTATTGAAAGTTATTTAAATAAAACATTTCAAAATGTATAATAAGACAACTATCACATTTTTATCTTTCCATCTACAGTATTCTTTCAATTTTATCTTTTCCTATATAACCTAGAATTATTTAAAACACCACTATTTGCTTACTATTCCCTATCCAGTCTTGAATTAAAAAGGCTTCAAGCATCATAAAGAATTTACTTATTTTCCTAGCACTTTGGCCTTTTACTGTTTCACAAGATATGAGCAAAAAATTCTTTCATTTCAAACATCTTCTAAGTTGACAGCAGTGCAAAAAAAAAGAATAATTAACCAAAATCAAAATTTTCTACTTAATAGTTTATGAAATTGAAAAGCTCCCATCCCACTAGCTATACACATATAATTATTGATTATTTTATTTTAAATTCAAATACATGTAAGTTAATTGGATGATTCCCCAAGGAGATACTATATATTTAAATGTATATTTACATGTAATTTTTTTTTTTTGCTAAAACTATTAACATACCCTTGTAAAGAAAGTACAGGTTTCTTAAATTATTTCATACAAAAAGAAATTCATGAAAGTTACAAAACTAGTTTCTGTGTGGCATTAAACTGAAACAGAAAAAAATATATTCAACTTATTCCCAAGGGTTTTTAAGGTGGATATTTTTAATTAAACTTAAGTCAGACTTTGTGGCTCAGAATACTCAATATGCTAATAGAAACATCTGCAGAAAATCTGTTTTCTTATTTATTGCGGCAAGAAAGCACAAGATAATCACAAGGGGAAACATTTCCCATAAATTTATTTCTATGAACCAGATCTTTGATATTAAAAGGAAATTATATCAATTACAGTAATATTTAAATCAATGAAGTAATCAACATATTTCTCATGGGATTATTTTAATATAAAAATTTGACAAGCCACATTTTAAAATATGAAATACTGTTTTAAAAAGTATTTCTAAAACCTTATCAGCGAAATAAGCATTCCCTAGTTTGGGCAAGAAATGTTCTAAAACATCTGCATTTGTTTTAGTGTTGCCAAACCACAGTCTTATTGCTTCAGTTGACCCAGTGATTTAAGATTAAATGCTTCCTAAGAGGCTGGGATGAGGGGCTGAACAGGGAAGGGAAGGAGGGGTACTCCCCAAGACTTTCATCATCATAGAAAGCATATTCCTTGACAATTCAACTTGCTTTTTGAAAATTAAATTCCTTCTGAACTAAGTGTAAGAATTGACCTAATAATTTACCTATAAAATGCTGTGCTTTAAATTTTTTTCTAAATTAAACTCTTCTGGTTAATATATGATCACATAACAAGGAAGACACGTACTTTAAAATAATAATAATAAAAGCATGACATAATAAAAAAGCAAGCATGGAAGCCAAGGCAAGAGGCCCATACTTTTATTATCACTTAGGCAATGATTTGCTATATACTTCGAGAAAGTCACATAACAATTCCTAGCCTGCCTTTGCTTATCCTGAAGCAGATACATGGAAATAGTTACCAGCTGTTTCCAGGTTTAATGAGTCTGGGTGGGGTCTTCCTACATTACATAAGTACACTCCTGCTGCTAGGCCTGGCTGGGCCTGTACGTAGCAAAAAGGGACAAGCTCGATCACCAGAGAGCATCAGGCCCAAGCCAGAAACCACACAGGATGGCGCCAGGCAGCTCAGGTGAGTGTGCAAAGATCGAGGCTGAGCATCCTGGGAGACAGACTCTCTTTCAGTCACTGCAGAATCATGAACAGAGAGGGCAAATAAGGGCAAGGGGCAAAAAGAAAAAGGCAGGGCACACAATCAGCACATTTTGAGCACCTGCTGTAAAGTGCAAATAGCAATAGTACCTTAGAGAGAAATTATGAGAATTGAATGACTTGACTTTTACCCATTAAAACCTTAGCAAATTCCTCAAATAAGAAGTACTAAAAAATTGTTGGTTTTTGAGGAGTGGCTTGGAAGCCACACTGACTGGGTTCAAATCCCTATTCCAATACATTAGCTGTGTAAATAACTTCCCTCTGGCTGAGATCCCTTAATTATAAAATGGAGGTAAAGATATTACCTATTCATAGGGCTGATGCAAGGATTAAATGTGTTAATACATACATAACACAAAGAAAACAGTCCCTGGCACCAATAAGCCATTCAATACTTGTTAGAGGTACAATGAGCACATCACATCCTGCCAGGTACTGTGAATGATGCTTTTACAACTGCATCTCATTCCCTATGCCCAATTAGTGTTCTCTGGGGGGAAAAAGTCTATATGGTAATTTGAACTCTCTTAAAGCAAGATATTACGAAGACTGAATAGTGTTTCCAACCCAAATAAATATGATATACAATATTTTTAAATGGAGAGTATTGCACAACTTACTATTACTAATCTTGGAGTATCCCAGTAGAAACATGTCCATTGAATTCACTTCTTTTCCACAAATATTTACTAAATATCCACCATGTGGCAGATGTGGGTTGAAACTCTATATATCATATTAAAGGAATCTCTTTCAAAAAAGGATCATTTTATTATTTTACAAAGATAAAGATCAGAACAAAGTTTCTTCCCAGTTCAGTATGTTATTACTTCCATTCCCAGAAGCCTTTTCTCTGGATGGGATTTTTCATTTGTCTTACAAGTTCTTCTTTTTGCATCTTCTTTCAAAGGAGTTTTGCATCTACTTTCAAAGAAACCATTCCACTCTATTTTCTCCTCACTCTGGTCCCTGGAATCAGTTCTTATTGGTATTCCCCTTCTCACCTCAGGAGGTTCCTCCTTTAGGATGAGCCTCCACCGATGCTGACCCTTTGCTGTCAGGTAGATGTCTGTGTCGTAACCTGGGCACAGCCAGAGCCAAACTTCCCACTCAGCAGGAGGACGGGTACTGAATAACAACCCCACCCAAGCTGGGCAGCGTAAAAAACCACCAGTTTATATGGTGATTCTGTGAGTAAACAGGGCAATTCTTCTACCCTGGGCCAACTTGCTGAATCTCTCTGATCACCTAGTGTGACTCAGCTGGGGTGGTGGTCTGGGGTGACTTCATTCATAGCCATTAGCAGGCTGGCTAGGCCTAATGAGCCTCATCTCTGAGACAAGGGACAACTCATCCATGTCTCATGTTGTCTCTCATCCTCCCATAGGCTAGCCCTGGTTTCTACCCACAGTTGTCTCCAGATTCTGAAAAACAAAAACAGAAATGCCAAATCTCAAAGTACAAGCACTTTTTAAACCTCTACTTGCAAGTTTACTCATGTCCCATCAGCCAAAATGAGACAAATGGTCAAGCCCAGATTCAAGAAGTGGAAAAATAAATGCCATCTCCTGACAGGAGGAGTTTTGCAAAGCAGCTGCACACAGAGATGGGAAGAATTTATAACCAGTTTGCACAGGAGACAAAGCCAAAAAAAAAAAAGGATAAGATGTTACAAATCTTGAAGGGAAAATGAAATTTTTGATATTTCAAAAAGCATTTATGTGGTTATAATGGAAAAATCTGCACTTAGTTGAATTTCCTTATACTTATGATGGCACAGTATCTTGATGTTTTAAATTACATATGGAGCAAAGTTAGGCACAACTTCTTTTCATTACTTAGAAACTCTTTTAGTTATCCTCCTTCTCTTCTCCCTCCTCCTCTTCTTCTTCTTCCTCTTTTCCCTCCTCCTCTTCTCTTTCTTCCTCTTTTCCCTCCTCCTCTTCTTCTTCCTCTTTTCCCTTCTCCTCCTCTTCCCCACTCCTCATTCTCTTCTTTCTTAGTATCCATAGTTGATACAGTTTTAGAAGAAGCAATTTCAGAGTAAACTTAAAACTTAACAGCTCATGTTAGTTTTATAGGTCAGTAATATTAACATGGATCCATGATACATTCTTAGCATTTTAGGGTCAGAAGTTCTAGTTCTATTGCATTATTTCATATAAGCATAAGCAGGTAAAAAATTTATGTGTAAGCAATTTACACTAAAACTATAAGAAAATGATTTTAAAAATCAGAATGTGGCCAGGTGTGGTGGCTTGCACCTGTAATCCCAGTGCTTCAGGAGGCCAAGTTGGGAGGGTCACTTGAGCCCAGGATTTCCAGGTTTCAGTGAGCTATGATTGTGCCATTGCTTTCCAGCCTGAGTGACAGGATGAGACCCTGTCTCTAAAAAACGAAAACAAATCAGAATGCCAATTTGTTATTTGGTAATGGATATGTCTTTTCAGTAGCCAGACAGATTGCACTTGCTATTTGATATGGTTTGGCTGTGTCCCCACACAAATCTCACCTTGAATTATAATCCCCATAATCCCCACGTGTCTAGGGAGAGAGCCTGATGGGAGGTGATTAGATCATGGGAGCGGTTTCCCCATGCTGTTCTCGTGATAGTGAGTGAGTTCTCATGGGATCTGATGGTTTAATCAGGGGCTCTTTCCCCTTCACTCTTCTCTCTCTTGCCGCCATGTGAAGAAGGTCCTTGCTTCTCCTTTGCATTCCACCATGATTGTAAGTTTCCTGAGGCCTCCCCAGCCATGTGAAACTGTGAGTCAATTAAACCTCTTTCCTTTATAAATTACCCAGTCTTGGGTATTTCTTTATAGCAGCGTGAGAACGGACTAATACACTATCGAAGGTAACTGCTTTTTATTTTCCTTGTACTATGAATGCTAACAAAAGGTCAATTTATATGAAATAAATCAAGACAAATAGATGTGATGATTCTTAGGAGATATTTCACTAGGCATAGATAGAAGCTTAGAGTAGCAAGGCTCCAAAATGAGGAGAAAAACAAATCTGTGTGTTCTCTGTATTAAATTTAGCTATATCCTTTTGGTATGAGATTACCACATGCATGTAAGCATGAATTACATCACAGCCTATTTTACATTGATTACATTTTAGCCTTTCTTCTTTTTTTCTTAAGATGAAGTTTAGCTCTTGTTGCTCAGGCTGGAGTGCAATGGCGTGATCTCGGCTCACTGCAACCTCTGCTTCCCAGGTTCAAGCGATTCTCCTGCCTCAGCCTCCTGAATAGCTGGGATTACAGGCATGTGCCACCACACCCGGCTAATTTTGTATTTTTAGTAGAGACAGGGTTTCTCCATGTTGGTCAGGCTGGTCTCGAACTCCCGACCTCAGGTGATCCACCCACCTCGGCCTTCCAAAGTGCTGCGATTACAGGTGTGAGCCACGGCGCCCAGCCTTAGCCGTTCTTTAGTTCTTACAAAACCTGTGAGAGTGAAACTTCAAAATCATTAAGTAGCAAGGACGACCCAGCTGTGATTGAGTAGTAGCATTAAATCAAGGAATATGCAGCAGCATGGAAACCAAAGTAAAGGAAATAGGATTGTTTACCTAAAGTTGAGGTGCAATTGCTCCCACATTATGTTAGGACCCTGTTTTAGACTCTCATATAACTTTGTACATCACCTTCACAGCACTCATCAGAATTGTATCTAATTACTTAATATCCATTCCCCCAGTAAACTGTGATCTCCATGAAGCATGGGCCATGTTTGTCTTATGTCCTGCTGTATTTATCTCCAATGACTGACTCATGGTGGACCTTAAATGGAAATAATAAAATGAAGAGCAAGGTAGGAGGAAGAAAAGAACAAAGACAGCAGCATATCTCAGAAACTGATTGAGAGAGTTTGGGGAGGGTGTGGCTGAGTTGAGTGAATGCATAGCAGAAAGGCCTGCCTGCATAAGTTAATAAAGGAAATATCATCCACTGGTCTGATAGGAATGAAAGTAGAGGAAAGGCATGAGCAAAGATTTTCCATTTTGAGAGATTAGGAGGCCCAAAGTGAAACTGAGCCTAAGGGTGGTTAAAGTGGAGCTAAGTAGGAGGTTAAGCAACTAAAGAGGTTAATCAATTAAGGATCCAGCAACAGGACTTTAGACTTGGGCAAGAAGGACACTTGCCCCATGTCCCACCCTATAGAGGGGCTACTTTCTGTCCCTCCTCCAGTCCTGTTTCTCCCCAGAAGGCAAAGAGCACAGAGTAAACATGCCGCCTTCTAGATCACATTTTTAATATCTGAGACTCCAATATTTTATACACAGTTCCCTTTTCCAGGTCTGTCCCCCTGAGAGGGACCACACAGCTATTGTCTGCTCCCTGGATCAAGAAGAGAACAAGAGGGGACTGTCTGGGGCAGGGATGGTGGGGTGGTAGGAAAGTTTGGACATGTGGTCTAGGTTATGTTATGCCTTTGGATCCAAAGGCCTCAGGAGATGCAGAGCAGGGACAGAAAGAGAAAGAAGTGAGCATGGGCTGTTGCCCTACCACCGGAACCACCAACTCATGATGTGGAACTCCAGCAAGCCCAGGTATTTGAATCTTGAACCAGGCCTCCAGATCATTCTGAAGGGAAATATACCGTCCCTTTCTTCTAAATATACCATCTAATTCAAACTAGAATTTGAACTTGGTCTTCAACAACCCTTTTATTTTTCAATTAAGGAAATAAGTGATAGCTTTACAAAATGTGAAGGTTTCTGTTAACAAAAAAAGGTATGTAAATGTAGGTGAATACATATATGTCATTTTACCATGAGACTATGATGTGTTAGTCTTTGAAAAGATCAATTTCTCAGTTGGCTTCTGTTTGAAATCTCTCTGACTTCATCAGTGTAACTGGAGTCCAACTGGCTTCTGCCCTAGAAATCCTGCACTTTCCTTTATTAAGGAGAGAGAAAGGAATATAAAAGGAAATCAAAGAATATAATTTTAAGGCTTGAATTCAGTAACTCTTTATATTTACTTGAGGTCACTGAAGTTCAGAAAAGTTAAGTAAATTGCCGTATATCTCAAAGACATAAAACAGAGAGCTGGGCCATGAAACCACATCAGATTTAGAATTCTCAGGTTTCCCTTTTCTCTGTGTCCTGTGAAACAAACTTCACCCATCCAGTGAATTTTATTATTTTTTCCTTACGTTTGTATCATCCCCTATTCTGTTTAACACTGTCTCTGCCAATTATTCAAAATTACCAATTTGAAACTATATATATCTCAAGTAGAAATAAATATGTATGTCTTATATAGTTAACATATATTTAATATATGTTATAGTTCTGATATACAAAATATCTTTTTCAGTTTCCATATGTATTACATTATAAGCATATTTTAGGTTTGTTTATTCAAAATGATCACTTCTAATGGTCATAGCATCACATCAAATTAATTCATTTCCTATTATTTAATATTAAGGTTACTTCTTTTTTGCCATCTTAATGTTTACCAAATATTAAGGTTATTTCTATATTTTCTATTATAGATGGTTTAATCATGACCACATTCATGAATATACCCTTGAATTCTGCTGAATCATTTTCTTGAGGTAAATGTCAAAGGATGTTATTACTAAGCTAATGTATAGAGATGTTTGTATTATTTGTGATTATTGCTATGTTATTTTTAAAAGGACTGTATCAAACCAATGTTCTCAGTAAATAGTTGGTTTCACTCCAATATTACCAGTATTACATATCATATACCATTATTTCTACTAACTTACTAGATATAAGTATATGCCATAAATTTGCTTATTTTATATTTCTTTAATTATAAGATACATATTTTTACTTTTTTATTCATTTCTATTTGCATTAATTGTTTGCTCAAGCTCTTTACATATTTATTGTGGTTAAGATATTTTTCTTATAAATTTAAATGAATTTTTTATGAAATACATATTAAACTCTTTGTTAATTTCCTGGAAATATTTTTCCAGTTTATTTTCCTTTTTAGGTTTAGTTTTTAAATTAATTTTCATACAACTAAAAACTTTATATCTAATTGTTACACTGAACAAGCAAAACCAGTTATTTGAGCATCTTTGTTTTTATTTCTCAATGTCACACTAAATTCTGTGGGCCTGACTTCTCTGACCTCTGAGACTTCTGGAGTCACTCTCAACCAACAAATGATCTCATGGTTGCTGAACATCACAAAACCTGATCTCAATTTAGAATTCGGATGTCCAAAAAGATATCATTATAAAAACTGTAGAATTTAGTTAAAGTAAATATTTTATTCTTTCCCAGGTCAGTACTACTTCAGTGTGGAAAACTAGAGTATGTCTACCTTTCTCTGCCTAGTATTGCTACTCCTCCTTCCCTAGCTTGACAACCTCATGAGGAGCCAGCCAGCTTCTGTAACTGCCTCTCTTCCTCTGGTTCATCAGCAGCCAGTCCTGAGGCTTTCCTAGTATTTCCTAGCTTGTTAACTTGAACTTCTCCTCCTCCAGGATCAATGTGCAGACAGAGACAAAAGTTCTTATATGACCAATATGGTGCACTCTGGGGCTGGTAGGTGTACAAAGGTGATCTTTTGAATACAGGCTCCCCACCAACCTCTGAGCATCTCCTATCTACAGTTCCCTTGAAATGGGACAAGGTATCTCCAAGCATATTCTGTGGAGTCAACACTTTAGAGTGGAGAACTACCCTTGATTCTCTTTGTAGAGGTCTGTTCAAGATTGCAAGAAGCCCTCCTGCACAGGACCGAAGGCAACCCCAGGCCAGCTTTTTTCACATGTGGCCCACACCTGGTTTCCAGGGAACACTCAAGTATCCTTCACCCCGACAAACTCGTGGAGAGCTACCCAGCTTCTGTAACCTCCTCCCTTCCTGTGCTTCAGCAGCAGCCAGTCCTGAGGCTTTCCTAGGCAGAAGCCAGATGCCACTTGAATTTCATGGGTCAGGTCAGCACCTTCCATCTTGGACTATGTAGGCAGGTGTAGGTGTACTCAGGGCACATTAACTTTTAAAAAATGTCTCTCACAAATCCTCTGTGATGTGACCCTTTTATTACCTTGATATGAATAGGAATTTTCAGAGTTGTCCAACTGGTTTTTAATAATCTTTGAAAATTGGCACCTTGTTCTGGCACACTTCTTTGGAAAATCACAGCGTTGAATCTTGGCACCTCAGTTAAGACTTTTGATTTAATAGTCTATTTAATGTATTTTATAATCAATCATGTGCTATTGAAATTTCTGTATCATTTAAAAACTGAAAATAGAACAGTTTACCCACATATATTTCAATTAAATTTTCTGTTGGGTTTCTTTAATTTGATATTTTTTCATTTAGCTTTCCAATTTCAACTAGATATGTTTTTCTTTTGGCATGTGCTATAAGATGCGGATCAATTTTTTTAGGATAAGGTCTCTGGGAATAGATAACTAATGCTTTTTTCTTATATGTGAATTCACAGGCATTAACAAAGATACAGTTCCAAAGTGTCAAAGTATTAATAAGTACAAATGAGCTTGGAAAGAAAACAGGGCTTTACCCTGAAATCTACACAATTATGCAACACATATCAACACATTTATTCAAATGTTGTTTATTACTCAGAATGCTTACCCTTTATTTCATTTTGAAAAGTTTATGTTCACATATTATTTTCATATAGCATGAGATTTATTTTTTGTCTCTCCTTTCTTTCATTAACCAGTATTTATTATTGGTGTATAATATGTTCTACTTATCAGCTTGAGGAGATTTTGGGCTGAGATGATGGGGTTTTCTAGATACACAATCATGTCATCTGCAAACAGGGACAATTTGACTCCCTCTTTTCCTAATTGAATACACTTTATTTCCTTTTCCTGCCTAATTGCCCTGGCCAGAACTTCCAACACTAGGTTGAATAGGAGTGGTGAGAGAGGGCATCCCTGTCTTGTGCCTGTTTTCAAAGGGAATGCTTCCAGTTTTTGCCCATTCAGTATGATATTGGCTGTGGGTTTGTCACAGATAGCTCTTATTATTTTGAGATACGTCCCATCAATACATAATTTATTGAGAGTTTTTAGCATGAAGGGTTGTTGAATTTTGTCAAAGGCCTTTTCTGCATCTATTGAGATAATCATGTGGTCTTTGTCTTTGGTTCTGTTTATATGCTGGATTACATTTATTGATTTGCATATATTGAACCAGCCTTGCATCCCAGGGATGAAGCCCACTTGATCATGATGGATAAGCTTTTTGATGTGCTGCTGGATTCGGTTTGCCAGTATTTTATTGAGGATTTTTGCATCAATGTTCATCAAGGATATTGGTCTAAAATTCTCTTTTTTGGTTGTGTCTCTGCCCGGCTTTGGTATCAGGATGATGCTGGCCTCATAAAATGAGTTAGGGAGGATTCCCTCTTTTTCTATTGATTGGAATAGTTTCAGAAGGAATGGTACCAGCTCCTCTTTGTACCTCTGGTAAAATTCGGCTGTGAATCCATCTGGTCCTGGACTTTTTTTGGTTGGTAAGCTATTGATTATTGCCTCAATTTCAGAGCCTGTTATTGGTCTATTCAGAGATTCAACTTCTTCCTGGTTTAGTCTTGGGAGGATGTATGTGTCGAAGAATTTATCCATTTCTTCTAGATTTTCTAGTTTATTTGTGTAGAGGTGTTTGTAGTATTCTCTGATGGTAGTTTGTATTTCTGTGGGATCGGTGGTGATATCCCCTTTATCATTTTTTATTGTGTCTATTTGATTCTTCTCTTTTTTCTTCTTTATTAGTCTTGCTAGTGGTCTATCAATTTTGTTGATCTTTTCAAAAAACCAGCTCCTGGATTCATTAATTTTTTGAAGGGTTTTTTGTGTCTCTATTTCCTTCATTTCTGCTCTGATCTTAGTTATTTCTTGCCTTCTGCTAGCTTTTGGATGTGTTTGCTCTTGCTTTTCTAGTTCTTTTAATTGTGATGTTGGGGTGTCAATTTTAGATCTTTCCTTTGTGGAAGGATCCTTTAGATCTTTCTCTTGTGGGCATTCAGTGCTATAAATTTCCCTCTACATACTGCTTTGAATGTGTCCCAGAGATCCGGGTATGTTGTGTCTTTGTTCTCGTTGGTTTCAAAGAACATCTTTATTTCTGCCTTCCTTTCATTATTTACCCAGTAGTCATTCAGGAGCAGGTTGTTCAGTTTCCATGTAGTTGAGTGGTTTTGAGTGAGTTTCTTAATCCTGAGTTCTAGTTTGATTGCACTGTGGTCTGAGAGACAGTTTGTTATAATTTCTGTTCTTTTACATTTGCTGAGGAGTGCTTTACTTCCAACTATGTGGTCAATTTTGGAGTAGGTGTGGTGTGGTGCTGAAAAGAATGTATGTTTTGTTGATTTGGGGTGGAGAGTTCTGTAGATGTCTATTAGGTCTGCTTGGTGCAGAGCTGAGTTCAATTCCTGGGTATCCTTGTTAACTTTCTGTCTCGTTGATCTGTCTAATGTTGACAGTGGGGTGTGAAAGTCTCCCATTATTATTGTGTGGGAGTCTAAGTCTCTTTGTAGGTCACTAAGGACTTGCTTTATGAATCTGGGTGCTCCTGTATTGGGTGCATATATATTTAGGATAGTTAGCTCTTCTTGTTGAATTGATCCCTTTACCATTATGTAATGGCCTTCTTTGTCTCTTTTGGTCTTTGTTGGTTTAAAGTCTGTTTTATCAGAGACTAGGATTGCAACCCCTGCCTTTTTTTGTTTTCCATTTGCTTGGTAGATCTTCCTCCATCCCTTTATTTTGAGCCTATGTGTGTCTCTGCACGTGAGATGGGTTTCCTGAATACAGCACACTGATGGGTCTTGACTCTTTATCCAATTTGCCAGTCTGTGTCTTTTAATTGGAGCATTTAGCCCATTTACATTTAAAGTTAATATTGTTATGTGTGAATTTGATCCTGTCATTATGATGTTAGCTGGTTATTTTGCTCATTAGTTGATGCAGTTTCTTCCTAGCCTTGATGGTCTTTACAATTTGGCATGTATTTGCAGTGGCTGGTACTGGTTGTTCCTTTCCATGTTTAGTGCTTCCTTCAGGAGCTCTTGTAGGGCAGGCCTGGTGGTGACAAAATCTCTCAGCATTTGCTTGTCTGTAAAGTATTTTATTTCTTCTTCACTTATGAAGCTTAGTTTTACTGCTTCCTGGATGCCACATCAGGCACTTACTCTTATGGATTAGCCTGACCCTGGATTCCACATCTGTCTAGACCCATTGAAACTAGACAGCAGCCCACTTTAATCTCAAGAGGTTGGTGCCTCCCACCTCTGGCCCATGCCACAAGGAGAATGCCAGGAATCTTGCCTAAAGACTTCACTTTGGAGCAGCTGGATTTAGAATTTAGCTCGTTTCCTGGTCTTTTGTTTGAATGTATCTGAATTCAGCAATGCCTGCATGGACTGTTGCCTCTGGCATCCACCCACTTAGGCTTTAATGCCTCTCCCTTCTTTTCTTGATCCTGGTGACTTGGCCATATCTCAACCTTGCTGCTTCCTGCCATCTGACAGAAATTAGGTGCTCAGCCCTCAGATGTTTCGACTCTAGCTTGCCCATTTGTTTTTCAGCTGTTTCTCATATTGCATTTGGTAAATGACTCCGTCTTTACCAAGTAAGCAGTCCAATTAAAACTTTTTCATGATTTAAATTGTAAATCAGTGGTTTTCAAAACTCAACACACACAGGATCATCTGCAGCACTATCTGTAACATAAATAGTTGCAGACTATGGGTATTTTGATTTAGGTCTTGGGTCTGGGAATTTTCTTTTTTAAAAAAAGATCCTTAGGACAGACATGGTGGCTCACTCCTGTAATCCCAACACTTTGGGAAGCTGAGATGGGCAGATCACCTGAGGTCAGGAGTTTGAGACCAGCCTGCCCAACATGGTGAAACCCCGTCTCTACTAAAAATACAAAGTTAGCTGAGCATGGTGGCGGGCACCTGTAATCCCAGCTGCTGGGGAGGTTGAGGCAGGAGAATCACATGAACCCAGGAGATGGAGGCTGCAGTGAGCTGAGATTGCACCATTGCACTACAGCCTGGGCAACAAGAGTGTAACTCTGTCTCAAAAAAAAAAAAAAAAAAAAAAAAAAAAAGATCCTGAATGGATTCTAATGTCCAGATAGGTTCAGGACTTGATAGTCTAAACAGAAAATTTCTATGTAAATAATATAGAATTTTATTTACAATTTAAGCAATAGGAGTGGATTTTTAAAATGTAGAAATTTTAGGATTTTCTCATCATAAAAATTTTGTTTAAAAGTCTGCTTTTGGGTAAAGATGTTTGTTGAATGAAAGAAAGATCTTTTTGACAGTTTAAATTGTCTGAGTTTCTGATGTCAAAAACCTTGCTGCTTTTGGGTAGCTACATTTATACATGTTTGGAACTTTAATTCTCCCACATCATTCATCTTTTCTTGACAAATTATTACTGTTACTAATCAACAGAGACTTTCCAAAAAAAGGAAGCTGTATTAGTCTATTCTCATGCTGCTAATAAAGACATACCTGAGACTGGGTAATTCATATAGGAAAGAGGTTTACTGGACTCAGTTTCACGTGGCTAGGGAGGCCTCACAATCATGGCAGAAGGCGAATAAGGAGCAAAGTTATGTCTTACATGCCAGCAGGCAAGAGAGTGTATTCAGAGGAACTCCCCTTTATAAAACCATCAGAGATCATGAGCCTTATTTACTATCATGAGATAGCAGCACAGGAAAGAGCTGCCCCCATGATTCAATTACCTCCCACTGGGTCCCTCCCATGAAACATGGGAATTATGGGTGCTACAATTTAACATGAGATTTGGGTGCGGACACAGCCAAATCATATCATTCCAAACCTGGCCCCTCCCAAATCTCATGTCCTCACATTTTAAAAGCAATCATGCCTCCCAACAGCCCCCAAAAGTCTTAACTCATTTCAGCATTAACTCAAAAGTTCACAGTTCAAAGTCTCAACTGAGACAAGGCAAGTCCCTTCTGCCTATGAGCCTGTAAAATCGAAAGCAAGTTAGTTACTTCATTCAATAGGGGTACAGGCATTGGGTAAATGTAACAGTTCCAAATGGAAGAAATTGGCCAAAACAAAGAGGCTATAGGCCCCATGCCAGTCCAAATTCCAACAGGACAGTCATTCCATCTTAAAGTTCCAAAATGATCTCATTTGACTCCGTGTCTCACATCCAGAGGACGTTGATGTAAGAGGTGGGCTCCCATGGCCTTGGGCAGCTCCACCCCTGTGGCTTTGCAGGGTACAGTCCCACTCCTGGCTGCTTTCAGAGGCTGGCATCGAGTGTCTGCAGCTTTTCCAGGCACATGGTGCAAGCTCTCAGTGGATCTACCATTCTGGGGTCTGGAGGACGGTGGTCCTCTTCTTACAGATTCACTAGGCCATGCCCCAGTGGGGACTCTGTGTGGGGGCTCCAACCCCACGTTTCCCTTCCACATTGCCCTAGCAGAGGTTCTCCCTGAGGGGTCCATGCCTGCAGCATCGAGGCATTTCCATACATCCTCTGAAATCTAGGTGGAGGTTCCCAAAGCTCAATTCTTGACTTCTGTGTACCCACAGGCCCAACACCACGTGTAAGCCACCAAAGCTTGGGGCTTGCACTGTCTGTAGAACAGCCTGAGCTGTATGTTGGCCCCTTTTAGCCACAGCTGGAGCTGATACAGCTGGAACACAGGGCACCATGTCCTGAGGCTGCACACAGAAAGGGGGGCCCTGGGCCTAGCCCAGGAAACCATATTTTCCTCCTAGGCCTCCAGGCCTGTGATGGAAGGGTCTGCCACAGAGGTCTCTGACATGCCCTGGAGACATTTCCCCCATTGTCTTGGTGATTAACATTCTGCTCCTTGTTACTTGTGCAAATTTCTGCAGCAGACTTGAATTTCTCCCCAGAAAATGGGTTTTACTTTTCTATTGCATAGTTAGGCTGCAGATTTTCCAAACTTTAATGCTCTACTTCCTCTTGAATGCTTTGTGGCTTAGAAATTTCTTCCCCCAGATACTCTAAATCATCTTTCTCAAGTTCAAAGATCCACAAATCTCTAGGGTAGGGGCAAAATGCTGCCAGTGTCTTTGCATAGCAAGAGTGACCTTTACTCCATTCCCAACAAGTTTTTCATCTCCATCTGAGACCACCTCAATGAGGACTTCATTGTCTATATCACTATCAGCATTTTTGGTCAAAACCATTCAACAAGTCTCTAGGAAGTTCCAAACTTTTCCACATTTTCATGTCTTCTTCTGAGCCCTCCAAACTGTTCCAACCTCTTCCTGTTACCCAGTTCCATAGTTGCTTCCACATTTTCAGGTATCTTTACAGCAGCATCCAACTTTTCTGGTGTCAATTTACTATATTAGTCTGTTCTCATGCTACTAATAAAGACATACCTGAGACTGTGTAATTTATAAATAAAAGAGGTTTAACTGATTCACAGTTCCACATGGCTGGGGAGGCCTCACAGTCATGGTGGAAGGCCAAGGAGGAGCAAAGTCATGGCTTACATGACAGCAGGAAAGAGAGTATGTGCAGGAGAACTCCCCTTTATAAAACCATTAGATCTTGTGAGACTTATTCACAGTCATGAGAACAACACGGGACAGACCCTCCCCCATGATTCAATTATCTCCCACCAGGTCCCTCCCATGACACATGAGAATTATGGGAGCTACAATTCAAGATGAGATTTGGGTGGGCACACAGCCAAACCATATCGGAAGCAAACTCAACTTAACATTTACTAAACCAGCAAGTTAGCCATCCTACTTGGTCGTGATCAGAAAGTGGATGTTGCTTGTGATAACTTAATGGCTCAAAGCAGCCTAAGTTCCATAGCCTAGTAAAGAGTTAATAATACTTAATAAGGAGTTTATTATATGTCATGTCATATTATATCTCATGTCAAAATGATCATATTAGGGTAAACATCTGTTTTAGACTATTTGTGTATTAATTTAAACACAGTGACATTCCTTCATTTTGAGTATTTAATGTACTTATAAATGCAACCAAGCAGCAATCGGGTTTTAAATCTTTTTAATAGTCTGTAAATCTCTGGATTGGCTGTTTTCACTATTTTTAAACCTACACTTAGCTGTATCTTTTTGAAATTTGAGTATATGTTTAGCTGAAAATAAGTACCTACAGAAGAAATGGGAATGGTGTGGCAGGCATGCTGTCCTACTAGGCATACCTTCAAATATTTTTTTAGGTATATGAAATTCATAAGCTATTCAGTCCATGCATATTGGGAGGCTGTGGGAAATGTCATTTTAACGGTGAGATTTAACATCGATGTTTCAAAGAAATACTGTTTAGCTACCCACTTTACTGCTTGCTTGTGATTTTCTTAGCTTTTATGTTGACTGACAGGCTCCCCATACCCAATCCGTCACTCCACCCTCCAACCTCTGGGCATCCAGTACCCTTGGTCTGTCCCTTGAGGAACCCCGGGCACCCTGTTGTGCCTTATTCATACCATCCCTTTTTGTTAACGGCCATTCTCCCAATTTAACCTACTCATTCTTTTCTATTATCCAATTAAACAAGGTCCTATCTTGGGTCCCTTATTCTTTTGTCCCTTTTGCCCCCCTCTTAGTTGATTAAATCTAAGTTTTTAATAAATGCTCTTCTCCCATCAGGTAACAAAACCAAAGCATAGTTTTTTAACCTAAGGAATATTTTGCTGTACAGTTTTTACACACCGTGGCAATTGTGTGATTCTAGTCTTTACTCCCTCAAGTCTCTCCCTGAAAATGTCCTGGGAATTCTTTTCCTATATTTTTCATCATGTCTTACTCTAATCAAGAAAAAAAAAAACCCAATAAGAAGTCAACAGGTTCAGTACTCTCAGAGTAAAGTTACAACTCTTCAAATTTTGATGGACTGAAGCAGCTCATTTGTAACTTCTATCCCTATAAATCCATCCCAGAAATCACCTCACTAAAATAGTTTGTCATGTTATGTTCTACTCAAAGGATTTCATTCCTCCTAATGACCTCAGAATCAAGTTCCAGCTCTTCATACTTTTTCAAAGTCCCTCATATCTGGTGTCACCTGAATTTCCTAACATTGTTTCCCATAATCTTCCAATCCAAACATGTGTTCAGCAAACTGGCTTTCTCTTTTCTTTAATTTGAAATATCCTTCCTTTAACTTTCTCTCCTCCTTCCTAAATTTTTATCATACTTTAAGGCATAGCTTCACCTCACCTCCTGATTAACCCTTACTTGAATACTCAGTCCATACAGATTTCATTTCTAGGCAATTCTATTTTTCTTTCCTTTTTTTTCTGAATCAAATAACAGCTTAAATTTTTATATAACCATTCCACAACTACAGTTTATGTGTAATATAAGCATATTCAAGCTGAAATAAGCCTAAGGGCAGCTGATGCCTGAATACTAAAATGCTGATTCTAAAATCAGGAAAGATCTAGTAAGTTACAGAGGGTCTTTAACTGGACACTTCATGAGAACACTAAAACTGTTGCTTACAGCGCATGAAACCCAAACCTATAATGAGAAATGCAAAGCATATGTACTTATAATACCAGTATATAAACTATAAAGCTTAGGGTGTTCAATAGACTCTGATGTCATTCCCCGTGTCTTCCTCAGGGATGTGAAATAAGTCCTACCTACTGTGGGTAGGGCACTCAGCTGACTTTGATTTTCCTCTTTGAGTCACATCTCATTTGGTCTACTGTGGCATGGCCATTCTTGTTTCTCGGCTCTTATTACTAATTGTTAGTAGTTCTTAGTCTTTCTTAGGGTTAGTGCTGTTTAATCCAGAAATGACCTTTTAGGGCCTGAATTCAGTCCTTCTATCCTGAGCGTAGAGTGTCTGCATGCCTCATGTGGGGATTAGAATTCTAACTCTGGCAGCTGTGTTGTCTCTGTGCTATGTGGCTGGCAAAGACTTTAAAGCCCATTTGTAGGAAGAATATCTTTTGTAAACCATCAGCTTTGAAGTCAGATTTCTAAGTCTAAATTTTCTATAGAAAGCCAACGGCAAACAAAATAACATGCCCTCAGTTTAAATATCACTCCCCTGAACCACCTCACCCAGTAATTGTACCCAGTCTAAATCGTTTTTTGTTTTAAAATTTCTTTGAAAATGTTCCTTTTTTCAGAACATTTGTATAGTAAGTAATACAGTAAGTAACTATTGGAGTTGTAGGGTGATTCATTGATGAATGTATTTCTTCTTCACTCTGGTGTATATTCCAACAGAGCAGAGACTGATTTATTGCATCATTACCTTCCTGTCCTCTAGCATTGGCCCAGCTCCCCAAATACTTGTTGAGTGGAAGAATACCTCATAAGGTTGATATAGATGGAAAAGAAATAAACTGTATATAGCACTATATAAACAAACATACCCAGTCAGTCCTCTGTATTCGCAGGGTCTACATTATGGGACTCAACCAACTATACACTGGAAACATTCAAGGAAAGAAGAAAAAAAAATAACAATACAACAATAAAAATAATACAGTCCAACAACTATTTTCATAGCATTTACATTGTATTAGGTATCATAAGTAATATAGAGATGTTTTAAAGCATAGAAGATACATTAATATGTAGGTTTTATACACATAGTGCACCATTTTACATAAGGGACTTGAACATCCATGAATTTTGGTATCCCTCAGGGTTCTGAAACTAATCCCTGATAGATGCGACTGTATATGTGTGTATGTATCAGTATATAGAATACTATGGTTAGCACATGGTAAGTATTCCATACATTTTGATTGTTTTTTATTATTATTGCTTGGAACCTCAACTGAAAATGTGTCTCCTTCTTGCACAGAACATGGATACTTCTTGTGCTATGTCACAAGAAGTCACTATCTCCCCAAATAAAAGGCTAGATTGACCAGAATGTTTGCATCTTTCCCATTCAAGCACCTGGCTAGGCCCATTAAGCCTAGGGCCCTACCTCTCAATGCTTTTCAATCCCCTGACACTCAGTACTCTCATTACATATTTGGTGACTTAATTTACAGAATTGCTAAACTCACATTTCTGAACATGGCTTCTAAAACTGACTATCTCTCCCCAGCTTAGCCAGAAGGGCTGCAAGGAAGAACAGAGACCAGAAGGCCTACAGCAGCTAGCAAGGTTAACTTCATGGAGCACCATCGTGCCTTTCAAAGTTCCCATTTCACAAAGTTTTGCCTGGGAACTCAGCAGGAACTTTAGCAACAGGAGAGAATTAGAAATAAATGGCTAAATGAAACCTAGATTTATGTTTCAGTCAATTGAGAGAATCTGACATGTTATGTGCCAGCCCACAGTAGGTATTCAGTAAGTAACTGTTGAATAAATTTGGTGGTAGAAAAAAATATCTCAGTGGCTCTTGGCATTCATTGCCTCTTCTATAGAGACTATACTATACATCCCTCTGCTGCCTTTGAGCAGGACTTTAAAACTCTATGACTCTAGTAAAATCAAGAGTATTTTCACAACCAAGATAAGTTTTTACAATGGTTTTCCTCCACATGGTAAAAAAGAAAGAAGGAAAAAAAATGATGAAGCTCCCTGAATTACTGGATGGGAAACACTGGCTTCTTTAATGCAGGAATGCAGACTGGCTTCGGGGTTCTTGAAGGAGAAATGCATAACTCTTCCTCTCCAGGCTTTTGGCTGGAGACACCCTGTGGGTAAGTTAGGGGAGAGGTAAGAGGGAGCGGGCAATTCCAGTATTTTCACATAGGGAAAGGGTAACGAAGAATCAGGCTGTAAAAGCCAGCTATTGGGAGAGGAAATAAAACTTAAAAATTTGTCATCGTTACTGAAAAAAAAAAAAAAAAAGGTAGGGACAAAAGGAATAGGAAAATGATGGGGGTGGGGGGACTAGTAAAGGAAAACCTGCAAAGGAAGTTGGAAAGAGGAAAGAGTGTCATACGCATTTTGTTTTTATTCCTGCTCCTTCTCTCTCACTCCCTCCAGAAGCTAGAAAAAGTTTGCAAGCGCAACTTTAGGGATGGGAGACGGGGCTCTTCACCAACAGCCCCACGAAAAGAAGTGCCCGCTTTACCCTTCCCCATTCGCGCCGCCGTCCTTTCCCTCTAGCGGGGTGATGGGCAGGAGGCGACACTCTTGGGACGCGGTAGCCCAGGCGGATCCCCCGGAATCCCGCTGGGCTGGAGCAGCACGCAGCTCTCTCTCTGGCAAAGCCTCCTCTGCCTTGGCCATCCACCTCCCGGAAAAGAAAAAGGAAAGATCGAGCCTCTAAACAGTCCTTTTCCCCCACCCCCTCTTCCCGGGGGAGCTCAGGAAGAAAGTACCGTTCTGTGATTCACTGGAGAGAAAAGAGGGAGGAGGCAAAAGAACTCGGAGTGCCAAAGCTAAATAAGTTAGCTGAGAAAACGCACGCAGTTTGCAGCGCCTGCGCCGGGTGCGCCAACTACGCAAAGACCAAGCGGGCTCCGCGCGGACCGGCCGCGGGGCTAGGGACCCGGCTTTGGCCTTCAGGCTCCCTAGCAGCGGGGAAAAGGAATTGCTGCCCGGAGTTTCTGCGGAGGTGGAGGGAGATCAGGAAACGGCTTCTTCCTCACTTCGCCGCCTGGTGAGTGTCGGGGAGATTGGCAAACGCCTAGGAAAGGACTGGGGAAAATAGCCCTGGGAAAGTGGAGAAGGTGATCAGGAGGCCGGTCCACTACGGCAGTTTATCTGTCTGATCAGAGCCAGACGCGACGCGTCCACTTCGCAGTTCTTTCCAGGTGTGGGGACCGCAGGACAGACGGCCGATCCCGCCGCCCTCCGTACCAGCACTCCCAGGAGAGTCAGCCTCGCTCCCCAACGTCGAGGGCGCTCTGGCCACGAAAAGTTCCTGTCCACTGTGATTCTCAATTCCTTGCTTGGTTTTTTTCTCCAGAGAACTTTTGGGTGGAGATATTAACTTTTTTCTTTTTTTTTTCCTTGGTGGAAGCTGCTCTAGGGAGGGGGGAGGAGGAGGAGAAAGTGAAATGTGCTGGAGAAGAGCGAGCCCTCCTTGTTCTTCCGGAGTCCCATCCATTAAGCCATCACTTCTGGAAGATTAAAGTTGTCGGACATGGTGACAGCTGAGAGGAGAGGAGGATTTCTTGCCAGGTGGAGAGTCTTCACCGTCTGTTGGGTGCATGTGTGCGCCCGCAGCGGCGCGGGGCGCGTGGTTCTCCGCGTGGAGTCTCACCTGGGACCTGAGTGAATGGCTCCCAGGGGCTGTGCGGGGCATCCGCCTCCGCCTTCTCCACAGGCCTGTGTCTGTCCTGGAAAGATGCTAGCAATGGGGGCGCTGGCAGGATTCTGGATCCTCTGCCTCCTCACTTATGGTTACCTGTCCTGGGGCCAGGCCTTAGAAGAGGAGGAAGAAGGGGCCTTACTAGCTCAAGCTGGAGAGAAACTAGAGCCCAGCACAACTTCCACCTCCCAGCCCCATCTCATTTTCATCCTAGCGGATGATCAGGGATTTAGAGATGTGGGTTACCACGGATCTGAGATTAAAACACCTACTCTTGACAAGCTCGCTGCCGAAGGAGTTAAACTGGAGAACTACTATGTCCAGCCTATTTGCACACCATCCAGGAGTCAGTTTATTACTGGAAAGTAAGTGTTCCTACTTCTTATATTTATTCCTTGGAGAAATCTTAAGCATTTAATGAAGATCCAGCTCCAAATTTAAGGGAGTAACAGAAAGTATGGGGAACAACTGAATGAATGAAGAATGAATGAATGATGTATGGTATTGGGGTACCGTGTTAAAATGGATACAATGTTAATGATCTTAATTTTCTAGTCACTAGTGTAGTCTAGTTTTCCTTTTTACAGAGCCAATTATAAGTTTCTAAATGAGATGAGAACGTATAAATACCCACAAACCAGAGATTTCCAGAAATGGTCTCCTGTTTCAAATCTATTCTACTTTTGAGCATGCTCAGATTTTGTTTCAGATGTCATACTAGAATTCACACTCACCATCACTGATAAGAAAGATCAAAAATTTTTTTTACTCTTGGTGCATTCTTAAATCTAGAATTATCAGAGAAAATGAACCAACGAAACAGATATAGAGTAATGTAAAATATGACCAGTTTATGTATGACTCTGCTTCGGTCTTTGATGGGTCATTTTCTCTTATGAGACCCCCTAATGAAGGCCATATTTAATTAGCAAAGCAGTTCTCAAAATGCAAGGAAATACAATGGTAAGTGCTCAAGAGGAGTCAAACTTCATCTGCAGTTTTCTGTTGCTCTTCACAGGTCTGGAATTTTCTGACTAACCAACAGAAATCAGACTATTTGGATGCTTAAGTAAAGTGCTTTTCATATTGTTGCTGCTTTGCTAAGTAGCTAAATCTTCTACTTAAATTGTTCAAACATTTTCATATTTTTACTCTATCCTATCAGAACACAGGCTACTGTAATTGATTTGGATGTACAAATTCAGCCTGTGGAACGAAGATAAACTAGGAAGGGCAGGGGTTAAGCTGGACAGAGGTAGAAGAAAATCCTTAGCCATTTCAATCTATGTCTTGTGATTTCAGTTGCAGGACAGGGAACCCTTGCTTCTGTGAAGTTGTTCTTGGAATTGGATCCTATAAAAGTAGCCAGTATCCATTGGAAAAATAAAGACTATTTTGTAAGAATCTCTGTCTCGCAGAGACTTTTGCTTACAGCATGATTTCCACTGCTTAGCAAACTGTCAGAACTTAGCATCATTGCCAGAAAAGAAAAAAATTATTGTCCTTCCCTCTCCTGAGAATGAGAAAAGTCTCACTGTACTTCAGGGTCATTTTAAAGGTTAACTGTGGCATCAGAAAATCAAGGGTATTTGATATTTATAAAGGAGTAGATTATTGGCTGGAAAATAACTAGTCCATCTGGTGGCCTAGAGGTCAAGTTCTTCATGTCTGATTCCAAACACCCTTATATATGGCTCATGAAATAAATGTCTCACAAAGCCTCACTGGACCTCTTCAACTAACTTATAGAATTTAGATTTACACAGATAGCCAACTGTGGTTGAAAATAAGTAACTGAACTATATGAATTTATTTTTCACAATAAAGCATATGTTCAAGGCTTTTCACCAAACAAGAAAATTTGTTCTTAAACATTATCTTGCACTGAAACAATATGTAGGTTTTATCTTTTAACCATTATGTTTACTTAATAAAATGAAAGAGAAACTAAGCTGGAAATATTTCCTAATTTTTCTCTTTGGTGAAAGATTAACGTCTCTGTAATTTCAATGCAATCAAACATCTGATGAGATTTCTTTTCTCATTAAAAATTTTTATTTAGTGCAACAGGTTGTATAACTTTTATAGACAAAAAGTACAAATAGCTACTGTGATTTGATTTAAATTTCTATTTGAATTAAACATTTGAATACTTTTTCACTTGCAATTTCTCCTTTTAGACAAATTGCTGGAACCTTCATTTAAATGAACACAGATGTAAGAAATAAAGCAGTTATGGAAGCCCAGTTCTGGACTCATTATTAACCCATTTATGCCTGAGGTTGCAATGTTTTGAATTTTTGCAATCAGCCCCTGGCAATGATCTTGGGCAGTAGTATATAAATTACTCCCACATGCTTAGAATTCCAATAATGGAACACTAGGCATAAATGAGTTAATAATGCAGGTCCCAGAGAATATGGTCATTTGTTCTCTCTATGAACACATGTCTATGCCTTGTGGATCTTCTAAATTAAAAAAGGAAGCCATAAAAAAAAACTGAAATGAACTAAACTATTTTAAGGGAAATAAAATGGGTTATGTGAAGTGTGACATGATTCAAATATCTTCACATGACAAAGAGTTTACATAATTGAAGCTGAAGTTACTTTTGATTCTATTAACAAAACAGCCCTCCCTTTATATTTTTCTGGAGTCAAAAATTAAAAATCCATTTTCTTTTACTACACGAATCTGTAACAAATTGCAGATTCCCTTAATAATTTACATCATACTAGTCTGGCAATATTGATTATCAGTCAGCCTGTCAATAAGCGTTCATGTGTACAGACCCCTGCATTGGAGCCATGAAGAAGAAACAAGAAGTGAGCCCTAATCTCTGGATAGTAGTTCTCAAGTTGTAGTGTGCAAAAAGAATCAGTCCAAATGCTAGTTAAAATGCAGATTTCAGGGCCCTTCAGCTTTGGTAGGTCCGGGGTTGAGTCTAGAAATCAATAGTGATTTAATGAGCATGTCAGGTTATTGTGATGATGACATCATCAAAAATAAATTAAGACTGTTAGTATTAAATGTTAGCGTCTGCTGAGCAGTCACTGTGTTCTGGGGTAATGAATTTTATATGCATTGTCTCATTTAATCCTTGCAACAACTTTAGATAGTTGCTCTTGTCATGCCCATTTTATATTGATGTGGCAACAGATTCTAAGAGGGGTAGTGATGTAGGGATTCTATGCACTGGGCTTTGAGAAACAGCATTCTAGGTGTTCACAGTTGTCCTGATGAGATAAAAGGTTGATTGGGAAAGTGACTGCCTGTGTTTGATTTATTTCAAAGTAATTTACTCACTTCTTTTTTTACAGTTTTGCAAATAAAGATATGGATTAAAAATATCATTTTTTTCTTAAAAGAGAATATAGTGAAGGCTTCATAAAGTGAATTATAAGTTTTGCAAAACCTAGACATGTTTTATGCAGACTTTAGAGGAGGAAAGGTTGACAATCTGAATTGAATTTGTATCTTTGATAGTAATTTTGTGTTTTTACTATTTTGTTACTCATTTATCCCACTTGAAATACCATGATGATCACTGTTAACAAATGTGAAGGAAACTCAAATAATGTTTATTTCTAATAGGATATTTGATAAATTCACTGTGCTTAAAACAACCCCCTACCCAACTGGTATCCCTCACCATGGATAATCACTCTCCCAGTTTCTCATACCTTAAATTAATTTTGCCTGGTTTTGAACTTTATACAAATGGAATTACAGAGAGGGTACTCTTCTATGTCTGGTTTCTTTTAGCATTATGTTTGTAAAATTTTTCCATGTTGTTGCCTGTACATACTCACTATCATTGAATAGTATTCCTTTGCATAAGCATATTACAATTTATTTACCCATTCTACTGTTAATAGACATTTGGGTTGTTTTCATAGTTGGGTTATTATAAACAGTGCTACCATAAAAATACTTGTATATGTTTTTTGTGAACATAGGTTATGCATTTCTCTTAGATATCTATCAAGAAGTGGAAATCCTGGGTTAAAGGGATGTCTGTGTTCAGTTTTGGTAGATACTGCTCAAGTTTCCCAAAGTGATTCTACCAGTTTGTACTCTCACCAGTAACTGTATGGAATGTTCTACTTGTTTCACATCTTTGTCAACATTTAGTATTATCTTTTTTCATTTTAGCCACTCTGGTCATTATGCACTGCTACATCATTATGGTTTAAATTTGCATTTTCCTGACAACTAATAAAGTTGAGCATCTTTTCACATTTTTATGGACCCATTTTATATCCCCTTTAAAGAAGTATTTATTCAAGTATTTTGCCTAATTTCTCTTTAGATGATTGTTTCTGCCTTATTAATTTGTGGTAGTTATATATTCTATTCCTTTGTTAGATATTTGTATTGCAAGTCTCTTTTCCCCTACTGTGGCTTGCTTCTTCACTCTCCTCAACAGTGTTTTGGTTTTTTAGTGTATGTTTTTTAGTGGTTTTGGTGTGTTTGGTTTTTTTTAGCGATTTTTCATTTTTTTTATTAACGGGAGGTTTTAATTTTCTTGTAATCCATGTTATAATCTTTTTCTTTTTATGTCCTATTTAAGAGATTCTCCCTACCCCAAGATCATGACCATGGTCTTTTATCCCTAAGAGTTTTATTGTTTTGTTTTTGTATTTAGATTACGATTCATCTGAAATTAGTTTTTAGTATGGTGTAAATGAGAGTTCAAGATTATTTTTTCCATGTGTATACCCATTTGACCCACACTGTTTATTAAAAAGACCATACCGTCTCCATTGCACTGCAGCATCACCTTTTCATAAATCAGATGAATGCACATGTTTGATCTGTTTCTGCACTTTTCCATTCCAATTCTCATTGTTTTCGCTATCGATTTGTTGTGTCAATGCTATGTTCTCTTAACTACTATAGGTTTATAATAAATATTAATATCTTGAATGTAAAACCTCCTGCTTGTTCTTCAAAATTGCCTTGGATATTTTTTACCAGTTCATTAATTTTCCTAGGAAAGAAGAGAGAGTATAGATGTACAGATGCAAATAGCTTGGAAGATTTGGTTTTGGGACTCTGAAGTAATTCTCTTCTGAATTATCCTACAGGTAATTAGCTGAGAAGGAAGATCTGAAGGTTTAACGAGAGAGGGCGAGAGATACAAAATATCTGCTAGGAGAGTAAGAAAGTGAATTGGGTAAAGAAATGCAGTAAAAATACTGGGATGTAACGAGAGCCCACTTGAGATTTGTGGTCATAAATTTTAACAGACACCAGGCATTTTTTGTTTGTTTTTCTCCCACCCTGCTTGGTGCTTGTGTGCAGAAGTACAGTTGAAGAGGTGGAATTAACTAGTTTTTGAGATTTGCCAAATAATTAGCATGGTGGATCATGGACCCTTTGCAAAGAAAGGGGGAATACTATGGGGGCTTATGTTCTCTTAAAAAGTGCTGAGGTCAATAAATTAACTGTCTGGATGTCATTGAAATGAGAACACCATAGTAAACTTGGAAAGTTGAAAACATAGATAATAGTGATTGGGAAAGTATATGCAGGGGATCAAAATTTAGTTATGTAGTACAGGTTTTGAAAATTATATGGTAATGAGTGCTAAGGTCAGATGGGGTAAAACATCTTTGGAAGTAAGGAAGGCAAAGTATTTCAAGGACAGAGTGTTGAATAATCACTCCCATGGATATCCATTGAGAAATCACTGAGAATAAAAAGAGAAATAGTAGCAAAGACGACAGCGAGCCAGTGCTGGGATCATCTGTGAATGAGGGATCAGGTTCCGGAAAGGCCTGAAATTGGATGAAGGACTCTAACAGCAAAGATAATGAGTCTATTGTCTGTTGCCTTACTTTTCAAAGGCATTGAGCTTTTAAAGGGAGACAAGAGCCAAAATTGTCTAGAAGTGCCAGTGAGAAACTAAGAGAGCACCCATACCTGCTCCAGGCTCTGTGAATATTGGGATGTGAGTAAAAGCCCGGCCCCAACTTGAAAATATGGCAGGGACAGCCAGCAATTAATTACAGCAAAAAGGTACAGGGGCTGTCCAGGGAAGAGATGAAGTTAAAGAGGATTTTGCTTTGAGACCAGACTGCACAACATAGTGAGACCCTGTGTCTAAAAATTAAAAATAATTAGCTGTGTGTGGTGGCATGCACCTGTAGTCCCAGATACTAGGGAGGCTGAGGTGGGAGGATCCCTTGAGCACAGGAATTTGAGGCTGCAAAGAGTTATGATTGGGCCACCGCACTCTAGCCTGGGTAACAGAGCAAGACCCCATCTCTTAGAAAACAAAAGTTTTAAGGAGGATTTTGCTAAATAACAGTGGGCATATTGGAAAGGGTTAGGGAGTTGGGATGGGGAAAGGACTGAGTGAGAGTAGAGGAGGGACATAGACATATAGATATTAGAATCTGAATGAAAGCAAATATATTGGAAAGTTTGAAATTTTGGTAAAGACTTAAATAAATAGGGATGAAAATCATGGTGGGGTTTTTTTTTTTGTTTTTTTTTTTTTCCAGATCATCTCTTAGAAAGTAATGAGTTTCTGGTTTTAATTATAGCCTCTTCCTGGAATTGCCTCAGCTGGGCCTTGTCAGCTATAGCCACACTGTACAGTCAGGCACTCAGTCGGGAGCTCTGGTGGCCTAGTTTGGTCTAGGAAGATAGAATCCAGATAGGCCTCCTCTGTGGATGGTAGTGGCCTGTCAAGGCAGGGGAACGTGTCTTCCAGTTTACAAAATACTACAAATATTTTAGATATTAAATTTTCAAGTTATAATTGTCCTAGTGTTGGAAACCCTGAAAAGGTAACTGAATTCTTTCAGCCACTCTGATAGGAGAAGGAGTCAAGTAAGCTTAGGGCAATAGAGTTTGATTATTTCATTTGATAGGCATGTGTGTACACACACACTCATTTCCCATCAGCTTATTGTAAACATCATGGTCATGCATGCTTCCTCTTCCATCCACTTCTTTCATTCAAGGCCTAGTTTTAAGCAGCATGTTACATCCAGACAAGACTCAATAAATATAAATTACATTAGTTATATGAGTTCAGTCATTACTTTCATATATATTTAGTTGATACTTAAACATTTAGAAAAATGTACATGTTTACTGTTAGAAGTTCAGGAAAAACAAGAGTTTTCTTCAAGCCTTACTTTGACTCTGGAAAATGGATATAACAAGTGGAGAGGGTGGCTTTGACACCTCACACATCCATTTCAAAAAGAATGGCTCAATAGTCAAACCATTTGACAAAGAGCTGCCAATTCCTATTTGACCATATGGGCTTTCTGATAGTAGAATTATGGTCAAATAAACTATTGGCACACTCTTAAGCTCAAAGTCCATAATTTTAAAGAGTCTTTAAAAAAAGCCATTGAAGTGAATTCCTATTTAGATAATTCTATTGAGTTTCCGAAATAGCTGTTCTTAAAGGTGGAAATTATCCAGGCGCAGAAGGCTGACGATGTCTTGTGTCATCCAAATGACAACTCTTAGAAATCAAAGATAGGAGAACCAAAAGACCTAGGGCCCCTGCCTTTAATATGAGCTCAGTATAAAAGTCTTTTTATTTCAAAGTTTGGTTTCATTCAGTTTTTTCTTATAGCAATATTCTAAAATTAATTTTGATTTCATCTTTTTTGTAAGACTTTACCTTGATATAATTAGAGTTTGTTTCAGTGTTCTTTTATAATTCTAGTTATATTCCCAGTGGTGTTACCTCATTGAGGCATTTTTTTCCATGCCCTATTGTAAAAAAAATAATAAAAATAAAAGACTTTCTGCTTCTCATCTTTTAATCTCTCTCTTCTATTTTATTTTTTATTTTTATTTTTTTACTGTTTTTTGAGATAGGGTCCTGCTGTGTCGCCCAGGCTGGAGTGCAGCGGCATAATCATGGCTCACTGCAGCCTCAACCTCCCAGGCTCAAGTCATCCTCCTGCTTCAGCCTCCCAAGTACCTAGGACTACAGGTGTGCACCATCATGCCAGGCTAATTTTTGCGTTTTTTGTAGAGACAGGGTTTTGCCATGTTGTCCAAGCTGGTCTCTAACTCCTGGGCTTAAGTGATCCACCCACCTCGCCCTCCCAAAGTGCTGGAACTATAGGAATGAGCCACCTTGCCCAGCCCCTCTCTCCTCTAATTTACCCAACACATTTGCTTTACTAAAACAGACTCTCATGACATCACCATCCTCAGCGAACACCCTCCCAGGTCCCCCACTGGCTACCAAAGAATAGGAAAAGAAATAATTTTATGCTGAAGGCCTTCTTGTGCCATTTGTTTTTCAGACATCCTGTTATTTGATCTTCACATTCACGCTGAAGGTAAAATTATTTTTATTTGAAAAATATTTCTAAAATATTTCACAAATGTCCACATTTTATGGATGGCATATGAAAATTTTAGAGAAATTATATAAATTGGTTATGGTCACACAGCTTCTTAAGCAGCAGAGCTATTTAAACCTAAACTTATGTGACTTAATTATTTTTCATCACCCCATTCTGCCTCCTATGAAAATTATAAACACCTCAGTCCAGTCTTTAAACAATATTTTTAGCCAGATCTTTCTCCTTCTACCTTCAAACTCTACTCCAGGGAAATGGATGATTCACAGTTTCTCAAGAACATCTCAATTTCCTCTCTTCTTTGGCTCATTCTGTTTTCACTCCTTGGAATGTACACCCTATCTCTCTTTGCCCAAATGCCAACCACTCATTAAAACTCACCTAAAATACCACTTTGCTTATACAGCTTTCCATGATTCCTTAGCCAGAAATGATTTATCTCAACGATGAGCTTTCTTACTCCTTTCTGTAACTGTCTCATTAGGCATGATTTTCCACTCCTTCACAGCTATTACTGAACCTCTTCCTTCCCTTGCTGGTCCCCTAAGCAGCAAAGCTGATTTATAATCTCCATAAATCTCACAGCACCCAATCCAGTGCTTTGTGCTAATAGGCACTAAGTAAATGTGTGAAGAATGAATGAATGGATGAATAGATGAATAAATGATTATTTATTTCCCCCTGGCAGGCAATGTGATTGAGAAGAAATAGCATATAATTTATAGTAAGGAAATCTGAATTACAGTACAGTGCTGATTCAACAAATTACTGACTTTGACCTTGAATACATTTTTTGATATTTCTGAGATGCATTGTTTTCATCTATAGAATCATAGTAATGTTATTATTGACTTACCAATCTTAAAAGTTATTCTACTCATCAATTGACATAACATATGTGAAAGTACTTTGAGAATTTTACATATTATGTAATTTTAAAGTAAACATTATTTTAAATTTATAGTTATGTCTTCGCAATATTAATCATATAAAAACCTTACAAGAAGTGGCTTTTATTCTTTTTAAAGCTTTCTGTAAGTATAGTCATAGCTCTCATCCAATTTTAATCTGTTGATTAAAAAAAGGGTTAAAATTAAACCCCATGTGTTTTAATTTTAATATATTTTATCTGGCATGGTGTTCTGCATGATATTGTTAGTTCTGAGATGTCCAAAAAGGTGACTGGGGTGTATTTTTTAAGGTCTCTGCACTTGCAAACTGTTTTAGTTGTTGTTGGTTGTCATGTTTGGCAGAATCTATTGGAACCCTGCTAAGCCTGTGACAAGTGAGAGGAAATGTGTATTTAAACAGTGATGTTAAAAGTATAACACTAAATGAGAAATTGGAAATAGGGTAATGGAAAGGCCAGTGATTAATTACTTCAAATTCCTTCAATCAAAAATCTCAAGACATGTTATTGAATATTATTAATATATCTTATCCAGCTTTGAATTCCAACTCACCCCTGGGGCTACAACTTAGAAGGTACATAATAGTTTTGAATTAATATATTGTTTTAGGGTTCATAGGTATTGAGACATCTGTGCTCTATTATCACTATTTCAATAACCTCCTAAATGATTATATTGCTTACAGGTTCTGAATCCACCTCTACAATAAGACCTGAGTAAAATTCCTACAATAGTCGAAATCATGACACTTCCCTGCTTAAAATTTTTAGAAGTTTCCACTACTTGGAGACTAAAGCATAATTCCTAAGCATTCCATATAAGGGCCTTCAAAATCTGGCCTCTGCCAAAGTTCTGTTGCAATCTCCCAACAATTTTCCATTTATACCTTCTTTGGATTATCACTGCCAGAGTACTTGTACTTTCCCACTAGGCCCGCATCCTCATTTTCCTGTTTCCTTCTAAGCAGGGCTTCCTTTGGTAGAGTGTTCTTCATTCATCTCTGGGAAGACATCATTGCATCTTTCTAGACTCTCTACCACCCTCATCTCCTCACCAATGCTTTTCTGGTCATTTTCTCACCCCACCTCAGGCAGAGTCAAGTGCATTCTGCTCTGTTCCTACCGTCTTTTCTGCATACTTCTGTTTCAGTTTTTATACTTACTTACTTCTTTCCTCTTAATCCCTGAGTGTACAAGAATACACTAAATTATAAACTTCATATAGTCTAATTAAAAAATACATAAATATTATATGTATATACATATCTCTCATATATTTATCACAGTGATTAAAAGCAAAGAACTTATGTGACATCAGCCATATAACTTAAACTATCTATCCTTCAGTTTTTTCATGGGAAAATGGGGATGATCATTATAGTACCTCATGGGGTTATTATGAGGATTAAGTAGAATTGTGTACCTAAAGCGTTTAGAACAGAGCCTGCCACATAGAAACCCATATAACCTTGATAATCTTGGTTACCTCCAGGCTGGGAAACTTTAACTTAGCCCATAAATAGTTAATGAATGTTTGCTGATAAGCAGACTCTCAATAAACATTTATGCAATAATTAAACCAAGTGAAAAGCTCTGAAGGAGAAAATATTCAAAAACTATGTTAAGTGTTTTATGACTGACATATTGAAAATGTCAGAATGACATTTTATATTCATTATGAATTTTAGGAGCTTTCAAATTTTTCATCTGTTAGTACAATAGCTTAAAATTTAAGAGGAATGTTTTGATTTAAAAATTGTTAACATCATATTACCATTGCTCATCAACTGAAATATGATGCCATATTTGATAGAGTTGGATGAACATAGATATTTAGATTGGTAGCAACCTTTAGTAATTGTTCAAGCATAATTTTAAATTATATCATATTCAGAGAAAGCAGTTATTTTAAATGGAAGTTATTTGAGAAGCAGGAGGCATAGGATTGTACACCTATGTCTAACCCCAGCTCCACACTTCAAGTGAAACCTTAGGTTACTTAAAGCCTGTAGATCTCCTCATCAAATGAGAGTAGTAGGAACTTAAAAGACCATTCTTTCTTATCTTATTAAATAAGACCATAGGGGCAAAAATACATAGAGCATTACCTGGCATATAATAAATGCTCAATACATTCTAAGTTTTAGATTTAACTGAATTTTCAGGGAATTTATTTTGAATAGAAAGAGAAGAGTATTTCCAAAGTCTCAACTACTCCTATAAATTTTGTTCCAAATGGGCATATGTAGAATCCATATCAGAAATGACAGCATACTTATGAACCTTTTAGGTTTACCTTGTGTAAGCTTTACACACTTTTTCTTGGGTGTAATAAGATGTGGCAGCCAACAAAGAGTGATAGAATTTTTAGAGCTCAAAGAGATGTTGAAAATTATCTTTCTCAAAATCTTCATTTTATAACAATGAATTCTCTCTCCACTGACTGAATATAATCCATAATAAAATTTCTCTATCCTATCACCCACACCAAACCTACCAACCAACTGAGCCTCGTAGGGAGACATGCCAGAAAATAATCACTAGGTCATTGTCCCCTTCCTGAGGAGATACCATGATATGCTTTTCTTGAAACTTGGTTGTTCTCAAGCTTGGTAGAGAGGGTAAGGACCAGCCATAGATGAGAAAGAGGATGTGGTAACTGACTGGACCCTGTCAGAGTGCTGAATTGTTCCGTGCACAAAGCCCAAATGGGCTTGATAGGCATGGTTTTGCAACATTCAGTGCCCAAGAAGGTGCAGCCAGCAGTTGGACACAGCAACAAAAATGTGGGTGGCAACCAATGTTTGATTAAATTAAATTCATAACCACAAATCTAAAATAGGCACTAAAAATGCCAGCAGTTTTTTTACCTTCCTATATTATGTGTCCCATTCTTCAGAACTACTATTTCCAAATTTCTCATCTCCTCAAACTGCTAATATCCTTTCATCAGCTCATTGCCTTACTTCAAAATTCCATTGAGAATTAGAAGCAATAATAAATTAGCCCTTTCATTACCAACACCAAATTTACCAACTGACCAGCATTGACAGCACATGTGCAGCCTTCTTCTTCCAGTAGGCATTGAGATAGATGCATCAGTCAAAAGACCCATGCCTCCCCAAGCCACTTTTTTCCTCCTCAAGGACTTAGTTTTTACAATTTTACATTCTTTCTTTGTCATTTTTTATCTCTACTAAAGCATTTCTACCATCACATAAATGAGTATAAGTTCCTTCTATCTAAAAATAAACCAAAACAAAGTGCACAATTTACTTGACTTAATTTTTCTGCACTTCTACCTAGCAAAAATTCATGAATTATATATACTAACTCCATTTCAATTATTAAGCTATAATACATTAATACATACTGTAAATTTGGTAGCATACCTGTATTTTAATATTAATTCATCTCTACTATAAATTATCTATTCTATAATTGAAATTTTTAAAATAAATTTATAATTTATTAGAAATTTATTTAAAACATTGTCCCTAATCTTCAATGTGAAACCAAATAATCTTTACATTGTTTTATCAGATTTTTTAAAATTACCTTTGGAGTTGAACATTATGAGGTTAAAGATTGTGTTAGATCCTTTGAACACACCAGGTTCTTGCACAGGATAAGATCATAATGAATGTATGTGAACAGAGTGATTCAGACTCAAATTAAAATTTAATTTGGTTTAGATATTTTTAAAATACTTGAAAATATAAACTGAAACGTTTGAAATCAATTTTTTACTTTGTTCCTAGTTTGGCTGTCTTTGTAACTCTATAGTTTAATCATACATTTTTCCTAAATAAAAGATTTAGTTGAGCATAAAGTCTTGTTAATAGCAATTTAACATTTATTTGGCATGTATGTGCTAAGAAATATACCTTATGTACATTACCCTCTAATATATATTCTTAGTACATCTATCTCTAAAAATTATATTAATCTCTCTATATATGTGTATATCTATATCTGTATCTCTTTTATATATTCTCCAAGTCTTGTAACTCTAGAGTAATTATTATTATCCACATTTTACACTTGAAGAAATCAAGCTCAGAGAAGTAAGGTATCTTGGCCAAGATGTAAGTAATGAAGCTAAGATTCCAACTCCAACACTAGGATTTTTCAATGACATTATTCAGATGGCTGACAGGATGGGTTTGTTATCCCTGCACAGCTTTCTTTAGAGTAGAAAACAATAAATATCTTTTGTTATTAAAGTAAAGCAACAGCAGGCTAAGTAGACATAGTTATTCTACAAACCAGAAACTCATATTCAAAATTGTTTCCCATACAGTTTTGGGAAGTTGGAAGAAGTTCTTGTTTTTCATTTGTTTCATATATAAATTAATGATGTCAATATTACCTTTCAGAGTTTCTAAGAATACTTAACCTATTAATCAAACTATGTTTCTCTTATTGAGAGATGAAATGAAGAACTTAAATATTCCATAAGTGTAGATGCCACAAGGCATTTAAAATATAATTCCAGTTCTATTTTTGTTACAGTGTTTTGAAGTAATACCTAGTTCCTATACAATCTTTTGTTTAAATTTGACTGTGAAAAGTTTTTATAATTTTTTTCCACATATATTATTGATCCTAACAAATATTAACAATTAGATATTTAGGACTGTAAGATGTATATAATAGAGCAATGTATAAGAATTACTCAGAGAACTTGTTAAAATATTATGCCTCTGGTCCTACCCTAATATTTCAGAAAGGCTAGGGTGGGGGTCTTGGTTCTGCGTTTCCAATAAGCTCTCTGGTGAAGGTGAAGTTGCTGGTCTGGGAACCATACTGAATAACACTGCGGTAGAGTTTTGATCTTTAACGCTCCATGGTGATTTATTGCCATCTTTGTCTCTTTTATTTTTCTCCCAACTGTTTAACACCTGCTATATGCATATGACTATTTAATTCAAGTACTATCTTAGAATCAAGTCAGTTGACCTGTGTTTTTCCTCCTAAAGTCTGCAGTTGAAAGCTTATTTAAGGTCTCATAGAGTTCAATCTTGGAAGAAACATCCCTATTAATGCATGTCTGTTCTCTCATAAAATAAGTTTATATATTCTTATTTTAGGCTTAGTAATTGGTTCAAGAGCAAAAAGCAACTGATAACTGAATAATGAGTTTCTGAGAACTGTATCATGAAATTAAAGGTACTAGGAGATGTAAACATTTTGGAGTATAGTTCTTTTTTATGTGCTCCTTTTCTACTACAGTGTGAACTTGAAGAAAACAAATGCTTATTTCAGTGTGTTGTTTAAATCAGGAAGCTATGAATTTTATCTGGTTTTCATCAGTTTCAGAGTGTGTGCATATACAGTATATCATAATTTTCTAAAGTGTTATGGCCATCTTAGCTAGATAATTCACTGTCATTATTTATCTCTAAAAGAAAAATGGGTCAATTGGATCAATAGTCTGAGATTTGCTAAAATTAAAATAATTCAATGGTTCGTTTCCAAGAATAGAGCTTTTTAGATCTGTTTTCTTTTCCACTGTGTCTCTGAATGATTCCAGATGTCAAAATAATAAAACAAAAAAAAAGCAATTTAAAATAGTGTTTTAAGATCAATGTTAATACACTGGATTATGTCATTTAATCCTCACCTCAAACCCATGATGTAGCTGAGTGTGATTATTTCTTAATTACATAAAGGAAACTCCCAAGGTTAAATGTATACCTTTAGAAATTCTAAAAGGAAGAAAACTATTCATCGGCTAATTTGTAACCCTTGTGACACTCCACTACCAGCTAATCATTCATTAAGTAATGGCCCTTGATTTAAGTGGTGTCGTTTTTATTTCCCTGAAATTCATCCATCATTCATTCATCCATTCATTCAATATTGAGAACCTACTCTTTGCCAGGTGCTGTTCTAGACACTGGGTGATTATGGTTTGGCTTTGTTCCTACCCAAATCTCATCTTGAATTGTAGTTCTCATAATCCCTAAGTGTCCTGGGAGGGACCCTGCAGCAGGTAATTGAATCATGGTGGCGTTACCCCCATGCTGCTGTTCTCATGATAGTGAGTGAGTTCTCACAAGATCTGCTGGTTTTATAAGGCGCTTTTCCCTCTTTTGCTTGGCACTTCTCCTTCCTGCCATCATGTGAAGAAGGACATGTTTGCTTCCCTTTCCCCCATGATTGTAAGTTTCCTGAGGCCTCCCCAGCCAGGTGGAACTGTGAGTCAATTAAACCTCTTTCCTTTATAAACTACCCAGTCTCAGGCAGTCCTTTATAGCAACATGAGGATGGACTAATACACTGGGAAATATATAAGTTGACAAACCTATAAAAATCCCTGTTTTCATGGTGTTCATATTCTAGTGCAAGAAGACACAAATAAGAAAACTATATAGTATGCTAGAGGGTGACATGCTCTAAGAAAGAAGATAAGGCAGGAAAGAGGATTGGGAGTCACAGAAATTGAGAGGACAATATTACAAAGGTCACGGAAGACCTTGATAAGAAGGGAGGCAAGGAAGGGATCGTTGTATGTAGCTTCTCCAGGCAGAAAGAAGAGTGAATGCATAAGTATTACAACAGGAACACCCCTGGTGTGTTCAAGTACCATTACAGGACAGCCCCACTAAGCTAGTTCAGAGACAGACCAGGAGAGATTAAGAGGAAATGGGGTCAAAGCAGTTAAAGAAGCCAGATCCTGTAGTGTAATGTAGGCACAGGCAGGGGCACTGACTTTCACTCGACTAAAATGGGATCCACTGGGAAGCTTGGAGCAGAAGGGGAACCTGATCTAACTTCATTTTTAACAGAACTGCTTTAGTGGCTGTGTTGAGGATAGATCATGCAGGTCGGATGGAGAGCAGGTGGATCTGTTAAAGAGACCATAGCATTAACCTGTGTGAGAGATCATGGGACAGAGGGAGGGGTGATGGAAAGTGATGGATTCTGAGTATATTCTGCAGATAGAGCAGACAAGATTTTTTGATGAACTACAAATGCAACAGGAAGAAAAGGAGGAGTCAAGGACAAATTCAAGTTTATTCATTCAACTATTAGAAAAAAAAAAAAAAAAGGTGCCTGCTCCAGCAGACATGTATCACAAGTTACAGGAATCTCTTTGACAATTATATTTCACATTTCAAAGCCTACCAATAAATAATAGTCTTTGTTTCTCCCTTCTTTTTCTGACTCCCTTAGGTTTTATATTTTGAAGGATTGCAGTTATAGATTTTTTTTTCTTTTATCATAGTAAGTGGTGTCAGAAGGTCTGCATCTGAGTTCTGGCTCAGCCACTCACTAATATTTCAAAAGAAAGAAAAAGCAGCACAGGTGAATGTTGGGGCAGGGTGCTACATTAGGGCAAGCATGCTTGTCTGGCCTCACGGCTGTCCCAGAGTTGAATGAACTGGGTGAATTCACCATTCTCCCTTACTTCACTACGTTGGACTTGTAGCCAAAACTCTGCATGTTATTAGTCCATCCATATGGTCAGATGGTTGATGATTAAAAGAAATCAACAGAAAGAGCCAATGTATGCACTCAACATCCCTATTTTCATCAAAATGAAAATGTTGCTACTTCAGACTATTGATTGCATCAAATATCAAGTGTTTACACACACACACACACACACACACACACACACACACACACACACAGAGAGAGAGAGAGAGACAAACACAGGCACACATACATGTTTTTCCCTTTCTCTTGGATTAATGTCAAGGCAAAAGAGTCTGAGCAGTAGTTGGTGGTCCTGCACTTACATTTTTAGAATTATAATTTTTAAGGATTTACATCTGGCAAGATTTTTGTTAAAACTTGAAGTCCACCTATTTTGCTTCTTATTTTAAAATAGCTAAAAATAGGTCATTTGCTTTAATTTATAGAACATTGTCATTTATTACAACTTTTCCACATTGGTGATCTCTTCTTTTTGTTCTCCAAAAGCAAAGTACTCACTAAACAGTTTATGGGCCAACCTGCATAAGTTGTATTACTGCTGGCTTTTGATGCAGTTTTCTGGGCCAAAGAGTTAACAGCTGTGCAGACATTGAGAAAGATTTCATTGAGAGGAATGTTTGTTTTAATGCATTCACCTTAGTTACCACACACAGTATTGAAATCAAAACGTCCAACCTCCATCTGATGTAACATGTTAGCCCAAACATTCCCTTTCTTAGATTTTAAGAACAAGCACTACAGAACATATCCTGCAAAAGAACATTTGTGATTGTTTATTTTTTAAAGAATAAGAATCTCATAATCTTTTACAAGTTCAAATCCCTTCTCTAAGCCCCTTTATTTTAAATCTTAAAGTGTAAAACTTTAGGCAACCCAGGTTATGTTGTTGGGTAAGTGCTACTTCACTTCCAACGTGCTGGATGCCTCCTCCAGGTGTGATCAGAGTGTGGGTGTCACTTCTCCATGGTGTCTGCTCAGGATCTGCACTGTAGTCTCTCTCTCCCATTACTTATTTTTCACCTAGAGGAGCTGCCCAGTTCACGTTACCTATGTTTGCCAAAGGTAAATTGGTTTATTTCTCTGTTGGACTTGAAACTTATTCTATAATTTTTCAAACTCTTTTTCAATGTGTCACTTTTCAGTCAAATGAATTTCTTGATGGAAAAGAAGTCCAGCATATAAAACAAAAGAAAGTAGATCTGCTAGTGCAGGTTCCAGCCTCAACCCCTTCCTTCTAAGGCAGGCTCGGGGCACTTCTGCCAATCTCCAGGGCTCCTGGGTCATTGTTTGAAAAACACTGCCCTATTCAATCTACTTTGAGGGAATTTTCTTAACATATCAAGAAAATAAGTTACTGACTTAATGCTACAAATAAGTAATATGTTAATAAGGCAATCATTCTCAAGAAGTACCAGCATCAAGTTATAAAATGTAAAAATAATGAATCAGCAGCAGCAATAATAAAAAGCTACAGATCTATTAAACACATCTTTTATAAGAAAATTCTTTGATTCTTTTTTTTCTACAAATTATAGCTGTCATTTTGATGAATACACCAGAATCAATTATAGCTATTAAAGTTGAGGCAGTTCACTAATAATCCTGCGGTTTTATAACACCACCATGGAGATGAAAATGAAATACTTTAACATTCAAACCAGGATACTGGAGGTACACAGAAAATAATTATAAAACAGCAAGGTTTGTGAAGTAGAGAAGCTTTTTCAGATGATCTCAAACTCTCAAATTTTTCACTTGTCATCAAATTCAATAGCCCAGTAGTGAGGAAAGCATACAAGGAAACTATTATTCAATAACTAAGCTGTAGTTAGGCATACCAGAACAGGTATAGGGAACCACACATAAAATTTATTCTCGATCAATGTGTATTTTGTAAAATGCCCACTACAACTCATTGTCAATACCTTGTTTTCTTATCGTTTTATCATTGCCTAATTGTATTTTATCCATGTCTCATTATTATTTCTCCAACTCTAAAACAGGGAAACCAGTAGGAAGCTGTCTGAATGAGAAACAAAATACTGAAAAAAAACCGTAATGATAACACTAAGAATGGAAAGAGAACAATAATTCAAGAGAGAAGCAATGATAGAAGGTACATTACTTAATACCCCAATGAACATAGTCTTGAAGACAAGAGAAACTAGAAGGCTTTCAGAAAAAAAATCTATTGGGTGGCTGATAGATCACAGTAAAATTAACTAAAATACAAGGTTGGGAATATTCTGACTTTTAGCTCTGCCATTTTGTTCCATACTTTCATTCCATTTTTCAGAAACCAAATTCCATTTGATAATATGCAACCATATAAACACATTCTGATGAAACAGTTAATCTCATGTTGATTATAGTTGCCAAATGTTCAAGAAAAAAACATGTTTAATATACACAAAGTAAAATATACTGTCTGTGAAATTTGTATTTTAATGCTACACATGATCATTGCAATCTCTGTAAATAAAAAATCATAGAACAGAGGTTCTTCTAATCAATGTTACAAATTCAGAAAAGATAAGACATGAAAACAGGGAAGTGCTGGTTCTCTCTTACCCAGCTTCTCATAACAGCTAAAAATTCTTTCTTCAGGCTGTGAAATCGTTCACAGGTTTATATATGTCCCTAAAGTTCAAATAGTGAAGTGTCTCGAGAGCTTTATTACTCTGACTCATGTTTGGCCAGATGACTCATTATTAAGGAATTGGTTTACTAAGTCAGATCTAGTGTGTGCATTTGAAACATTAAACAGAAAATTTTTGAAAGGAAATGTCATGCATATTTAGAGGTAGAGCTGTTAATGGGACAGAACACTGAACTGAGGGTAAACAGAAATTATTCCCCCCACAGTATGCTGTTGGCTTTTAAGGTTTATGTTCTGTGTGAGCCATTCAGAAAAATGTCTACCGCAACATGAAACAGATTACTTAATTTCACATTTGCCTGAAAAGAAATGTTCTCTTCAGACAGCTCTAGTTATTATTTAAATTTTATCGTGCTTTTAAATTGCTATTTTAAGAAGAAAGTCATCATTTTTATCTTCCCACCCCCATCCCGCTCCCAAAACACAAATGGTTTGATTCTGAAGAGGTTATTAAAAGGGTTGGTAGAGTAGAAATGGCAAGAGTGGGTGTAGCCTGCGTGCGGGGTTTAATCTTGCAAGAAAGGAAAGAGAAATGTGGCAATTTAAAAAATAGCGGGTTCCAAGAGAGGATATTTTCAAGATAGAGAGAGACATATGCTTGAAGGTGAAGGCTGAGGAGAAAATATAGGGAAATTAGTGGAAAGTAGAAGATTAAAGAAATGAGAGAGGTAAATTTATACCACAATCACCCTCTTCTCAGCCTATTTGAAATTTTATTTCTCTTCAAAGAGCTACATCAATGCCACATCCTTCTCCCAACCTTCCATGCCTTAAGCTCTGTTATGTATCTATTTGTATATATGTATCGGCTAAAGTCAAAACATGCAGGTTAATATCCATAGAGAAAAAAATAACCAATCTATGATGTAGGAGCCTGATCTTTATCAAAGTTAGGGGTTCAAAGACCTTCTTTGGTTATCATAGGTGTCTAGTTTGGAGAACATAGTGCAAATAGAAAAATAATTAATGGATTCTTTCATTTTTCTACAAATAGGTGAACATTAGACACCATGCTGTCTTTAGTCATAATATTGATAATGCCTTTTGTGCTGCTGGTAATGCACTTAAATTTTTTAACGTTAATTTTGCTTCTATACCTCTGTCCTTAATTCGACTGAATTTTCATTGTACATTTTATGTACAGCAACATTTAATAAGGAGGCTGATTTTTTCATCTCCTTTTTGCCAGACTGCCTAAATCAGTTCATGTTGCGTCAGGCAAGAGAACTGGTGTTCAGCTTGCTTTTCCATGGTTTGTTTGGAAGGAGAGAGTAAGAGGAAATAGAGGCTCCAGGCAGTGGCAACAGCTGGAAGGCATCTCTAATTAGATTCCAAGCAAACTTGGGCTCCATTTATAACTTTCCATATGCTGGCTTACAGTTTCTTTTAAAAGGCTCCCAAAACAACATGCAAATTTAAAAAGATTTGCTGCACTTGTTTATGTCACTCAATATGAAGTTGTTTTTCTTGAGCACCTTAGCATAGAACGTAGACTAGTAATCACTCAGTCCTAACTTTGAAGATGTTATCCAGACAAGATGGTCTCAGAAGGTGTGTGTGCTTGACTGATTTTTTGTTTGTTGATAAAAATTTTTAGACTGCTGTTACATCATAACAATTAAGAGATGTTTTAAGCCTTGTAGATGAAATTCTGTCTCACTTTTAAGTTTGTTCCTACATAAGCAATTTGGAGTCTTTTTTGCAAGTTAATGTTACTTTTTTTAAAGAAGCACAAAGGAAGAAAATCATTGTGTTCAATACACAAATCAGTCACCGTGAACTATGAAAGTAAATGTTGTGCATTTGTGATTTTGGTTTTGTGCTCAACAGTAGAGAGAGAGCTCAGAGTTGATGGGTTTTGTTTTTTAATGTTCTATCCTGGAAAGTTTGATTTAAGATTTTCCCACTCAATGTAACAAAAGACCACATTTGTTTCAGAAAAAACGACTTTAAAGACTTATTTCCATTTTTAAATAAAAGGTTCTCTACTTATTTTTATATTTTTTCCCAATACAATGTATTGCTTATTAGCTTTGCAAGCATAAAGAGTTTCTTTCTATTTTTTTCTCAGGAGAGGTCTCTGAAATTAAGTTTTTTAAAAGAAGAAGAAATCCCTAACATATAAGGATGCTAATAGAGATATTTAAATAAAATGGTGGAAATACTTTTTGGAGAGCTAAAACTAAAAGAACTGTCACCATCCTAAGACATCGGACATCACATTGAAGCCTTTATTCCTATTAGCTTACTATATAATGAATCTTCCTCAAGGCCTTCCTCCCCAAACCTGCCCTTGCTTGAAAACGTTTTATATTATGAACTGCCTACAATTATTAACGGCATTGATTATTCTAAAGTAAAATACACCCTCTAATTTAGGACAATATACATAATTCTATAGGTCCATCTTGCTGCTACAGCTGCAACAGCCTATAAAATACTGCATTGCCACCAGTCTCTTCCCACATTAAGCCACCGGAATTGTCTTTCTAAACTGCACATTCCATGGTGCTATTGCCTGCCTGAAAAGCATAGGCTGTTGGCACCCTGGAGCCTGCAAAGTCACTACATCTCGTCGTGTCATCAAAGACCCCTCTCAAACCGGCCCCTGCAGTCTTTCAGACTCCTTTCTCACCACTCGTTCAAGTACCCTGTGATCTACTTGCAGTGACCATGTCACCATTGCATGAACTTAATCTCTTTCTCATACTTTTATGCCATTGCGTGAGCTGCTCCTTTCCAAATGCATTTTACCCATTTCTCATCCTGTGAAGATACAATTTATCCTTCAGAACTCTAATTTAATTTTACTTCCTTTGCTTATTCCTGCAGACAAGTTTCTCCTTCTTAATTCAAACATTTTATTCATTGCTTTCTTCTCCATTGCACTTTGAGCTCTTCAAAAAGATAGGCTTTGTCTTCTAAAATTTAAATTTCCCCAAGTATTTGGCATTATATGATACATAGTAAATGGCCAGTAAAGATTTATTAAGTGAATGTGTGGTCCCACCGATTTCTAGTTTATTTAAAACATTTCTTCCCATTTTTGCTTTTAATGTCGTAGAACCCCTTCTCCTAGTCTTCCTGTTAAGTGATTAACAATTAACTCTTTATGTTCTAGGGGAATATATTAAATATTCCCTATAAGGAGAGGTGGCGTGGCTCTTTATTATTATGGGTTTAAATCCTAATCTATTTTATTCCAAGCACATGTTTCATAAAGTAGGCTTTATCTAGCTTGCTTTCGCTTTCAAAATCACTACAAACTCTTTGAAACCAGCCTAGGCAACATGACAAAACCCTGTCTCTACAAAAACTAGCCAGGCATGGTGGTGCATGTCTTTAGTCCCAGCTACTCGGGAGGCTGAGGTGGAAGGATCACTTGAGGCAAGGAGGTTGAGGTTTACAAATTAACCAAATAACAGTTTTTAAATAGATTTCAATAATGTTTTCAAATGTTCAGTTTCCATACTACAAATAACTCAGAAATATGACCTCATAAAATATTAGCTGCTGTGGCTGGAAGATACTAAAAGGCAACATTTTCTAAAAATTACATTGAAAGGTATAATCACAACATTATTGTTGTTAAAACATTTTCAGAGAGGCACCACAAGGTAGCAGAAGCTCTGGATTTGGAATCAAAAAACTTCATTATAGAGTCAAAATTTATGGTTTAAAAGTTTTTTGCTGTGTGCTCTTAACTAGATCACTTTACCTCCCTAAGCCTCAGTTTCCTGAGCTATAAAAGAGGATTATAACAGTTATGAAGGTTAAACAAAGCAACATGTAGACCGGAAAGCACTCTACAGATGTTAGTAATTATTATGTGCATGGTATTTATTGAGTTCTACCCATATGGATTTAGTGCTTGGAAAAACCAGTCCGACTGCATCCTAATAGTAGTTTCTTTTATAATAAAAACGGTGGCACAGCTCCTGCAGATGGCATGGAACCTGGGCTTGAGTATTGCCACTGATTCTTTTTTTTTTTTTCCTAAATATCCTGATTGGTTATACAGTCATTTGGATTACCATGAGTCCATGCAAATTTACGACCTAAAAGAAGCTGGCAAATTGGGTTAATATTTAAATAATAACCAATCTGTTCATTTATTTTGATATATTTTATTTAGAATTTGGGGTGAGGAGAAGGTAACTGTATCTGCAATAACTGCTAATGGACTTTCTCAATCTAGATTTATGGCAGTGCCATTGGATCTATGGAAACTCTGAGAAGTGGCTTTAGTTTACTCCTGACAGTGTCTCTGGTTTTCAATTTTTGTTCTACCCTTTCATTATCTTCTGCTGATGTTAAAAGTGCCTTGATCTTCCTTTTCTCAGATTTCTCCAATAATTATTTTCATCCATCTGGTATAGGCTTGGAAACAGATGCTGTATGCTCACATATGCTCAAAAAAAAAAAAAAGAAAAGAAAAAGAAAAGTCAATAAATTGAGAGGGAGAAGAAAGGACATACTTCTGTTTACAGCAGGGACAGAAGGAACCAAACCAAAATAAGACAAGACAGATAAGTGCAAAGAAAACAGCAAAGGGAAAGATATGACTGTATTAGAAAAAATAAAAATCATCTCTAAGAGCTTCCAGACATCTGGCTCAGACTACAGGTTTAGAATGCCCATGGACATTTTAGAAACAGCCCAACTTTTATAAGATTCCATTTTCAGCAAGTAGGACATTGCTCAGTAAGTGCCCAGTGTGAGCTGGGCTCATCTATCCTGCTGCTATGAGATAAATTATCACCTATTGGTTCCTTGTGCATCAAAAAAATGCCATAATAACTATGTAAATCTTTGGGACAATTTGTACAGCCCAAGTTAAGGGAGATAGATGTGAACTTTTAAAGCACACTTCTATGTTTAACCTTAAATAAAATTAGAATGAAATTTCAAGTTTTCGAAATACAGGGCTTTCCAGGTATTTGGATTGAGGCAGAATTTAAAACAAACATCCCATTTATTTTTTACAAGTATTTAAAATCTGTATTTTCAGAAAAGATGAAAACATAACAAATAATATGAATTATGGGTCTCCAGTCTATAAACCTGAAGTTGTTTTCTATTTCATATTCCTTGCAAATTACTTTTTTTGGATCAGAGAAATCTGCTAAGAAAACATTATTAAGTTTAAGGAAGAAATTTGTATTAATTGCAAGGAATCTTGTATTCATATATGTTGTGGAGGAAGAAGACAAACAGGAGGGAGATCATTCTTAATAGGTTTAAACACATTGAGATATGTAATGGATATATTCAAATATGTACTGAGATGTCGGTGACTTGAGGAAACCACAGGAAATCCCATCAGAAGACCTAACATAGATTTTGATGGTAATATATTATTTTAATTACCTCTGTCTTGAGAAAAGCATTAGAAACCCAGAACAGGAAAACTATAAAGAACCATGCTTATTACTATAGTACTCTAGCTTGTTTTAGAATGCTTCCAGTATATTTAGAAATATTGCCTTTTGAACCTCAGATTTCTTGAAACAATTTTATTCAAACATATGTATACATCCTTGAAATCAGGGACCTTATCGCTTGAGCTATCTTGTGAATCATTTTTTGAACTTTCTCTTTACTTCCATTGAGTTATTTAAGGTTCAGTGCTTTTAAAATCCTTTTATTATGCTGCTACTGATCATTTTATCCCTGAATTCATTTACCTGTTCACCTAATATTGGCTTTACAGATGCTAAAACTGAAAATTCTTTTACCCCCTATAAACATTTGCTGCCTTAACTACTTAATATGCATTTTTACCAGATAGATCTGGTGCCATGTTTATGTGGCCAGTATTTCGGCCAAGAGGTGCAGATCCTATTGGAAATTCAAATCCTATTGGAAATTCAAATCCTATTGGAAATTCAAATTGTCACTGAGAATTTTCACTGTACTAAGTTTGTATCCATTACATATAACTTTTAAAAAGCCATACATTATGTTTACAAAGTATTCATTTGCCTTGACTTTAAAGAAAATGAAATGTATTAATAGGATATATTTTGTTTGCATGGTCCTAAAAAAGCAGAATGAACTTCAAATCTGTGAAGGACTGATGAAATTTGATTACAGAAAATAGAAGCCTATGATAAGTGAGAAGATGTGTCCACTCACCGCAAATTCTAAGACAGAAGGCCTTAGAGTTGAGGAGAAGATTGCTCCAAGCTTTTCCACAGCTCTCTTCCCAGAGTTCTAATTATTGAATCAGAATACGGTATTGTCCAGTCTTTCAGCATAGTGAGTACATGCCTTGCAGCTCAACTAATCTCTGTTGAGATCCCAGTTTTGCCACTTAAATTTCTTAAATCCTGTTCTTCAGTTTCCTTTTTGTGAAATGGGGAAAATATTACTTTCCAAAGCTTGTTCCAAGAATGGGAGATAATATTGGTTCATTGCTAGATATATAGTAGACAGTCAATAAATTGTAACGATTATTGCTGAATTGATATAATTTTGATCTTAGCTTGGACTGCAGATTTCAACCATGACACTAAGACTCCTGCTTCAAGGTCATTTTCTGGCATTGATATCAAACTTCCTAAAAACCTTGTCATTGATGTGTCTTCCAACTGAGTGCTGACTGGCTGATCTGTCTTGATTGCGTCCCAGCTCTATCTCTGTTCTTATGTGAACCATATCTAAAGTGGAATTTCGGGGTAAACCTGAGAGTAGCCTCTTCTACAGAGGTTTAGCCTTCTCCAGCCTATCGTTCTCTTGGTCCTTCTAACCAGGGGTCGACCATTCCTGTACCTAGTTCTCAGCCCTCTATTTCCCTCTAGTGACTGCTTTCAGCATTACCTCACCCAAGCGTTTAACCTTGTATTAAAGCGCTTGGTTTCATGGGTTAACAGACTGTAGGAACAGTTCGCTAAATTGAGAACCCAGAGTGCATTACATTACATGCCATATTTTAAATATTGATATGCGTATGAAAATATTTTAAAGCATTCATTGAAGACTCATAAAAAGCAAGGATATGGAAGACTAGTATCTCAATGTCAAAAAAGAGAGAAGTCTGGATTTTAGAAATAAAACTAATTAATAGGTTGACTGTGGTTCCCTGATTTTAAAAAATCAAGTTGGCTGGGAAGTTGGTTTTTATTCAGTAAGTTACTACAGGAATTGGTGATTATTAGAAGTGGTCTTAAATTGTTTGAAAATAATTCAAGCCCAAAATATATCACTTAAATTTCTTGCAGTGGTGCCAGCTACTTGAGAGGCTGAGATGAGAGGATTGCTTGAGGCCAGGAGTTTAAGGCTGCGGTACACTATGAATGCACCTGTGAATGGTCACTGCACTCCAGCTTGGGCAATATAGTGAGACCCTGTCTCTTAAAAAATGAAAAAGAAAAGTAAATTTCTTCCAGCATGCAAAATCCGGGGAGGTTATACATATGCTATGTCTCAGTTTCAACAAGCCTTGTAGAAAAGACAATCCTTTTAATCAGAAAAAAAATAAACTGAATGATAAGTAAAAAGTTGAACGTGACATTAAAAAGGGAATTGAGTAACAAATCAAAGTTAACCTAAGGGCAGTTATTCAATAACAATTTATAAGGCTTTGTTCTGAGTTAGTTCTGTCCCCTCAAACTCTTAAACGCATGATTCAGATGAAGACACATATTTACCAGAATTAACAGGAGGGATAGCTAACATATTGAAGGACAAAATTAAGTATCTTCTAGATCTTTAAAGAGCAGGAAGAATGAGAGAAGGCGTCAAGAAACAAAACATTCTCTCTGTAGATTCATAAAATAAACTCCTCTTCTACGAGAGAGGACAACTGGCTTAAGAACAGTGAATATAGAAAAAAGAAATAACTTGGGGTTTTAGCTGCCTGCAAGTTCACCGTGTGCCAACAGTATGACGTGCTGCCAAATAAGCTCGTGTGAGTCTTAATAAAGTGTCGACTTCAGATCAAGAAAGGGAGTAGTCCCATTGAACTTTACACTGTCCAGACCACATCTGAAGGATTATGTTCAATTCAAAGTGCCAGATTGTAAGAGGGACACTGACACACTGAAGTGTGTGCCAAGGAGATCTGGCAACCAGAGAGCATGAGGATTGGCTGAAATAACTGAAACAACTCAGAAACGTGGTAACTGTCTTCACATATTTGAAGAACATTAACATAGAAGAGATTCCAGATTTGTTAAGATTCCAGACAAGAAGAGCCTGGATTAATCCAAATGAGAACCTTATATTAGTAAACTCTTCAGAAATAAAATGAGCTGTCTGGTGAGATATTGAACTTCCCCATATTGGAAGCATTTTTGACAGCTGTACTACTAAGTAACAAGTATGGGCCTTTATAGCTGTACTGCCCTGGGTTTCTAATGCCTTCTCATAAATCTTTATCTTTTATGATTCTGGTTTCTATTTGTTTCTTCAAGCATTTTTAAAACTTCCATTTATTTCCCTTTATTCCCAATCCTTTCTCCCAATTCTTAGTCTTGGGCAGTGTTGGCAGTGTTTGGTGCCATAAACAGAACAACAGGACACCACGTCAGTATACCAGTGCTTCAACTGTATGCAAATTTCTTTAAGAATAGGGTGCTGCCTCATAACAAACTCCAGAGAAAATAATTCCCATTCTTATGCCTAGTCACGGTATAATCAGGAAAGCATACGCTCTTAATGTGCAAGACTTAATAGCTATAAAAATAAAGAGAATACAGTCACTTTAGCATAAGTTTAAGGGGCTGATGTGTAATATTTTAATATTCACATTACAAAACCAAACAGAATTTATATACTTCCAGAATTTGCAGGCCTTTTGAAGCAAAATTACTATCTCTCCCCTCTTCCTCTCCCTCTCTTTCTTCCCTTTCCCTCATCTTATATTCACCCTTTTTCCCTCTTTCTCTCTCTTTCAAGATTTGTCTCACAACTGTTGGATAATGTTTCTCAGTGAATAGTTCAATGTCCCTTTCCCATGCTTCTCTTGAGCTGTTTCCTCATTACCAAACCAAACCTACTGCCAGCTCCAGGGCTCATCTGGATGGGGCTTCCTACATCTGCTATGCTAGGAATAGCTTTTCCCTTCACCAGCCAGTCATAAAGCAATGATGAGGTTGCAGCAGAGGCAGGTATTAGGGGAGCATAAAAGGAAGGGGGAGGGTTAGAATAGGACTATTCTTTCTTTTCTATGATGGATTTCCTTCAGGGCAGCTCTGGGCAGCTGAAATCACTTCAAAGGGAGGGAAAAGGAGAAGCTGTTCTTTCAGAAACAGGTTTCTCCTTTCAGACAGTCCCACATTATTAGGGCCGTGTAATCACTTTTCAGTACATTTTATTAGAACTTCATTTTATTTCCCGAGAACCATATAGCTTACATCTGTATAGCATCTATTTCTATGAACCCCCAGAGCCTGGGCTTCTACAGTGTCTGCCTCCATTTCCAGATTAAAAGTTGGGGGGAAACTAGAGGAAAGAACATCTCCAACACCTCTTTTATGTCCACCAAAGAGCTTTTAAAATTAAGGGGAAGACAAACTGTGTGCCATAGCAATGCTCTTCTACTTCTCAAGGGTGTTCCAAGACATAAGGATCTAACAAAATATACTTGGAGTGGAGTACAGATCGCAAAAGTGCATTAACAGTGAAGAGATCATCAGTTTTCACTCTTTTTGCCTTCATTTCTTCATATTCAGATGACACTAATATATCTATCCCATGGGGCAATGAGGAGCAAATAGGGAAAGGGAGGTAAAGTCCTTAGTACAGAGACTGGCATGGACTAAATCCGCAATAACACTCAGCTAGTAACATCATCTCTGTCTACGTTTAAGTTGGGCCTTAAGGGAGCCATCAGTAAATACCTATGGAATGATGAAAGGCTAGTCCTTGTTCACTGGGTACAGATTCTTGAACTTCTTTCGGAAATGGCAAGGTCCAGCGTCCACCACCTCAAGTTGTGTCCATGAGCCTTTTTTTACCGCCTTTGATGAAAGTCAAGCATAAAGGAAAGAGATAGTCTCTGGTACTCACCAGATCTTCAATTCTAGCCAGAAAAAAAGTGCTAGGGAAGATGTAGCATATTTCGTTTTGTTGTTGTTGTTTTATTATTATTATTATACTTTAAGTTCTGGGATACATGTGCAGAACGTTCAGGTTTGTTACATTAGGTATATTTATGCCATGGTGTTTTGCTGCACCCATCAACCGCCATCTACATTAGGTATTTCTCCTAATGCTATCCCTCCCCTAGCCCCTCACCCCACCCGCAACCCCCTGTTATGTTCCCCTCCCTGTGCCCATATGTTCTCATTGTTCAACTCCCACTTATGAGTGAGAACATGTGGTGTTTGATTTTCTGTTCCTGTGTTAGTTTGCTGGGAATGATGGTTTCCAGCTTCATCCATGTTCCTGCAAAGGACATGAACTCATTCTTTTTTTATAGCTGCTTAGTATTCCATGGTGCGTATGTGCCACATTTTCTTTATCCAGTCTATCATTGATGGGCATTTGGGTTGGTTCCAAGTCCTTGCTATTGTGAATAGGATGTAGCACATTTCTTAAAGGTGGATTTTAACAAACTCTTTGAGCATCTGTTGCAATGAAGAGATACAGAAAATTCCAAGAACAAAGCCAAATACCAAGAGGCCTAGAAGAGGATGTGGAATGGCTACAGCCAACTCCTCCATGTCACAGTGCTGGATTGTTTCCTTTCAGCTCCTGCACTAATATAATTGTTAGGTTTTCCAATATGTGCTATGAAACTTGGTTCTAAAGTATGATCACTTAGACATATACATATAGCTAAAATCAGTGAAGCATAATAAATGACTCAAGACCAATGATAACATTAACAATGTGTCTGGAAAAAAAATTCTAGAATATAGTACGCTTGCAACTATTATCGTAGCATAATAAAGGATAAGTGGTTTAGTTTTAAAATAAATAAAGCTGCCTAGATACTGTAAAATATGACACTTAATATACCTTTAGGGTTCCAGAGAATACTCAAATCTTTGTTAATGCTAAGAAAATTTCTGAAGAAAAGAATAACAATTTTAAAGTTTTTCCTGATTCAAATTTCCTGTTGATGTCAGTAAACCATTTGGATTTACTGATCTATAGTTATGAGAGAATATAAATTTCAACAGGTAATTTCCTACTCAGGCTAATATAAATAAGACAGTGGGTTGAAGCTGTAAATAACTCACAAGCCCACTACTTCCTAATATAATAAACAAAATACTATGTTAATTTTTTTTTAAGACAGAATCTCGCTCTGTCACCCAGGCTGGAGTGCAGTGGCACAATCTCGGCTGGCTGCAACCTCCACCTCCTGGATTCAAGAGATTCTTGTGCCTCAGCCTCCCAAGTAGCTGGAACTACATGTGTGCACCACCACACTCTGCTAATTTTTGTATTTTTATTAGAGATGGGGTTTCACCATGTTGCCCAGGCTGGTCTCGAACTCCTGGCCTCAAGTGATCCACCCACCTTAGCCTCCCAAAGTGCTGGGATTATAGGCACGAGCCACCATGCCTGGCCAATGTATTTTGATTAAACATTTAAAAGCTTACTTTTGAAAATGCCGTAATTAAAGAAAATATCCATATTCAGACAAATTGGATAATATGTTTTGCCATACTACACTTAAAAAAGTATATAATTTCTCAAGCTTAATGAACAAAAAAGGGTAAAATTTATGAAATAACTTATAAAATACAGTCCATATACTTTTTAAATTTTAGTTGCTCAGGTAGATTATTCTCTACCCAATGAAGATAAAAGTTATTTTTCAATTTTTTCTCCTTCCTTCCTTCCTTTCCCTTCCTTCCTCCCTCCCTCTCTCTCCCTCTCTCCTTCCTTCCTTTCCCTTCTTTCCTCCCTCCCTCACTCTCCCTCTCTCCTTCCTTCCCTCCCTCCCTCCCTCTCTCTCTCTTTCTTTCTTTTTTCTTTCCTCTTTCTTTCTTTTGAAACAGAATCTCATTCTCTTGCCCAGGCTGGAGTACAACTGCAGAATCTCGGCTCACTGCAACCTCCAACTGCCAAATTCAAACGATTCTCGTGCCTCAACCTCCCAAGCAGCTGGGACCACAGGTGCATGCCAAGATACCCAGCTAATTTTTGTATTTTTAGTAGAAATGGGGTTTGCCATGTTGCCCAGGCTGATCTCCAACTCCTGGGTTCAAGTTATCCTCCTCCCTTGGCTTCCCAATGTGCTGGGATTACAGGTCTCAGCCACCACATCTGGCCTATTTTTCAATTTTAAATCCCTATTGGAAGACCTAAATATCACAATTTAAAATATTTGACTATATATGTCTATATTACAAAATATCTTATTGGCAAAAACTTAATCTAATGGTTTTTACCTAGTTTATGGAATTGATGAGAGGTAATACTTACAATTATTTTTTAGTGAATCATCAAATATTGGATATATTGGATACCACTTCATTTTGCTGATGCCTCTCCTCTAATGTATGAAGGTTTAAACATCAGAACTTCTAAATTATATACATAACCTGAACTATTAAAATACCCTTAACATTTTTATAATTGATAAAGTAAACAAATTTTAGAAGAGAAAATAAGGAATTAGAAATCACTATACAGAAAAACAAAACAGCTGTAATTCAAGTCGCCAAAATAATTTTAATACTGCCTTTGTTTCCTCATGGAACGGCTACTGAACTCAGCTATAATAACGTGTGTGAAAATAAATTGCACAATTTATGCAAAATATTATAAGTGCATTATTACTATTATTGAGGTCAAGGAGAAATGTAGATTTATGTAAATTAAAATAGAACTTGGAGAGTCTGGCATATCAAATATATAAATCATACTTACTGACGTGTGTGTGTGTGTGTGTGTGTATGGTGTGTGTTTAAAACCACTTCCATTGCTTTTTTTTTTTCCTTTTTTACTTTGAAATTCTCATTGGAGACAACGTGCAAAGTCAGGGCTCCTAGTCCACTGTAACACATGGTGTTTTAAAATTATCTTTAAGATCTTAACATTCTTTTCTTTTAGGCACAATTTTTTATGCACCTAAAAATGCCGTTTGATGTGCAAAGGAGTCCTCTTGGTGTGAAATTTCAATGTGTGCCTGCATCATTGTCTTCATGCATGGTGATTTGCAAGTCATTAAAACATGGGGGCTACATTTAGGATTTCTTTTCATTTTAACTTTGGAGAGCAAGCACAGCCCCTAGTGTCGACAGTTCAAGAAAAGCATAAAGCAGGCAGATGAAAAAGTGAAGAAAAAGACAACTAGAAAAGGATGAAGGGATAAACTCTGGCTTTCTTTTTACTTTGTTTCACCCAGCCAGGGGAACATAGTTAAAAGTGACTTACAGAAGTGACTCACATCCCAATAACCACAAAGCAAATTATTTTTATACCAAGAAGAAAAAGCAATTCTTAAGGAAAAAAAAAATGTTTAAAGAGAAGAAGAAAAGTATTTTATGAGAAATTGCTTTCCTAGATCACTCTGCTTGAAACTATGAACAAACTGACATTTTTAAGCCCTCAGGAATCCTGTCAACAACCAAGATTGTTGGTTCAAATCAGAAAATAAGTTGTGTGGAATTACTTGGGAGAATTATTTTTCTTTTCATCAGGAAGCAAGGGAGAAGAAATCAAAGGACAGACAAAATACAAGTATACAGTGTACTTCTAAACAATGGTTGTTATATCTATTATATAAATGTCAGATACATAAAAGTAAACTGCATTGGGAATTTTAATATGTAAATGTAGCAACGGAATTTATGACAGCAGTTAAGCTGGTTTTCTCAGAGCTGTTTATAATGCCTTTTATGAAATAATGAGCTCCCTCAAAAAAAAATTCCCCTATAGGATGAATGTCTTAGGATCAATTCTATTTGTACTCAAATATTATCCATAACTCTACCAATCAATTTTGATCCTAACTATTAAAAGTTTACTTACTTCTGTCCTCTCTTGTGTCATTGTCAGGAATTAGCATTTGAAGAGACACCACAAAAGGGCCACGTATGGTGGCTCTCACTTGTAATTCCAGCACTTTAGGAGGCTGATGTGGGAGGATCACTTGAGCCCAGGAGTTTGATACCAGTCTAGGCAACATAGTGAGACCCCCATTGCTACAAAAAAATACAAACAATTAGCTGGGTGTGATGGCACACACCTATAGTCCCAGCTTCTAGAAAGGCTGAGGTGGGAGGATTGCTTGAACCGAGGAGGTCAGTGAGCTGTGATTTCACCATTGCACTCCAGCCTGGGTGACAAGAGTAAGACCCTGTCTCTTAAAATATGTATGTATATTTTTAAAAAGAGACACCAACAAAGAGCATATAAGTTTCTATTTGGACTTCAAAAATGTCTGCACTATTTTTACTCTTGTTAAAATGTAACTTCAAAAGCTAAATAAATTATTCCTATTCAGATATAAACACGCCAAATATTTTATTTATTTAAGTCATTAATTAAGGCCAGAACAATTAAGATGCCAATACAAATTCAAATGGGAATTTGAAGACAGATAGATAGATATACAGATACGGATATATATATATGTATACAATCAGGAATGTTAAAATGAATTTGTTAATAGTTACAAAATGTTAATATTCATAGGCAACAAAATATAATGTTAGGACTCATCTTTTCTAGAGGGTAGAAATCAGTTGTACCTCTACTGAATAAAATTCATTTACATTGCTATGGCAAAAATCATTTGTATTACTCTCATTCTTCTACCACTTAACTTCTACACCTATTAAGCTGTAAAACAGTCTAGTCAATCATAAGACTCACAACCCTATAGAGTTGATAATCCCCTGAGAGCTGCTAGAACACTCTACCTCCTGGCATTTTCCTGAAAGGAAACCCAGTTATCTCTTTTGCCCGTTTCTAGATCTTCGACAATATGTTCTCGACACTGCATATAATTTTATTGGACATGTTGTTTCAACTAATTTTATTGTAGTTAATAGATCTCTTTTGGTAACTAGATGAGTCCAAAATTATGAGATCATTTTTCTTGAGGAAACCTAAGATACCTGCCTACCTGACAGGGAACTATGAGATTAATGTAGTGGTCTCAGACTTTTAAGAGAGCTATTCATTTCTCTTTCTTTTTTTTCCATCATTGGCTGAGTTGTTTAAACAGGAGTCCTACATGTCATCCTGCCTCTTGTACATTCATCTTCCGCAGCCCAAACACATAGATCCATACAGATTCATAAATAAACACACACATATACACATGCATCCCTTATCTGGCCCTGTCACTTCTACCTGCAAATCGTTTCCTAAAGATCACTTCTCAGAGTTTCCTGGTTCGAAGCCACAGCCCAAACCACAAACATCACTTGCTTTTGCAGCAGTGTTCATATTGTTTCCTCTTTGCTACCAAAATTCCATTCTCTATAAGTCAGCCAGGGAGATTTGGAAAACTTAAATTAGATCACATTTCTCCCCAAATTTTTCAATGTCTTTGCCATTTCAATGAGAATAAAATCCAAATTACAAGACTCAGCCTACAAGGCATGACATACTCTCATGCCTGCCTACCTCCCTGGCCTTGTTTCCTGCCATCTTCCCTAATTCTGTTCTCCAGCCTGTCTTTCCCTCTGTTCATGAACATACTGATCTGATTCCCAGCTCAGGATCCTTATGTCTATCATTCCTTCTGTTTGAATGATTTTTCCCATATCTGCACTTGACTGGCTCCATCTCATTACTCAGGTGTCAGCTCAAAAGCTACACCCTCAAAGAAGTCTCCCTTCCCACCTAATTTAATGTAACTGCCTTCTGTCACTCTCTTGATTAGCTTATTTTGCTTTTTCCCATAGCAGTTATCACTACCTGAATTTTCTTGGTTGCAAAGTGGTTTAATTTTTTTATCATCTGGCTCCTCCTGTGGGAAGTGAGAAGCCCTGTCTCATCTATACTAGTACCTGGCACAAAGTAGTGTTCACTGAATATTTTTTAAAAGAAAGGAGAGGTCAATCCCAGGAAAATGTATTTGAGATATTTACAGAGGAATTCTGCTCAGTTGGGGAATCCAAACTGCTTCCTGGCATGTGATGGAACATCACAGAATGGTACTCAGGGCAGTCATGATCCTAGGCCCCTGTGTCGCAGGAGAGCAAGAAGTGTGGCAAGGATTCCTGCACAGGGCTGTGGCAGATAATGTAGGAGTAGGAGACACAAGTCAAATCTTAAGATGTGAGCTAAGATATGAAGCACTGATTCAAGGACATATGATTCCCAAGAGAAAAACAGGAGCAAAGAGGGTTGAAATTGGAGCCTATGGCACAAGCTGGCTCCTCTTAATTAAAGTTGTCTAAGCAAGTTTCAGCCCACAGTGATGTAGTTTGGCCAAAAGGAGGTTAGTGGCTTCCATATAAACCTTGACACTGATTGGGTTTGAGATGTATTGGGATCCACCAAAGAGATTCAAAATCTACCTTTATGAATGAATATCTTGGAATTCTTAGGAGACAGATGTTTTGCACTGCAAGTTGTTACTTTTTTTTAATAGCTAGGTAAATTTCTGTCTCATAAGGCAAAATATTTTCTTCACATATGTCTATTAGCTGCACCAAAGGGATAACAATTATTCTTGGTTATGATAGAACATACATCATGCATCCTATTTAGTAATTTTAAAAGAAACGTGGTAAATTTTCTTCATAATTTTAAAATCACTTTTCCATTTTAAGAAAAACCTCTGAAATTCTAGCAGAACTGTTTGTTGTGCGTATGCCAAGTTAAAAAGGAAATCTGGAAAGATCACTCATAACCACTGCATGCTGAAATTGAAGAACATTCCAAGTTCTTGTTGATTGTATACTACCTTGTGCTTAAAGGAGAGAGGAAAGTCCATGACAGAGATGGCATTCGAAGTAGCCTTTAAATATGGAAATGGTTCCAGATCAAAGATTTATTCCAAATGAAGTCCTAGGAGTGATATTGTTTGGAGTTTATTTGGAACAGAGAGGAAATAGGCATTTGTGACTTGAGTTTGTGAAAGGTTGCAGCCATAATTTCAAGAGCCTAGTATTCTGAGATATCTATATTTTAGGTACTTTGTAGGTTAACTGGTTTTATTTAGCAGTAGGATTATATCATTGGGCTTTACTTATAAAATATTGATCTGGAAGCTGTTTGTTAAATTAATTTGAGCAGAAGGACATGGGAAATGAGAAGTAGGAGTGGAAACATAAATTTAGATGCTATTAAGGTAGTTTATATCTTCAAGTCCTGCCATGATCTGACCTTTCTTTGCTTTTCCAACCTTTATCACTCACTACTTATTCTTTACATTCCAGTTAACTTGACCGTTCTTACACTCTTGGGCTCTTCAAATTCACCTCATTTACTTAACAAGATTCCTTGTAACTGGAATCCAATCTGCCTTCCTAGGTATCTTAACATTCTAAACAGTCTAGTCATACTTCAGGGATTTCAAGTGGTTGATATCTCTGTCACCTGCTCCACCCTCTACCCCTGAACCTCTGCTTTCTGGAAACATGTGCTTCTTACATGTTTTCACTTTCTAAAACTCTAATTTCTAATCCATAATAATAATGTTATCTGCCTCAGAATTCTGCTAAAGTAGATAATGAATGAAAAGATTTTTAATCATTCTTGTTTTGAATTGTTGCATCTTAACTTGGCAATATTAATTTAACATTTTGCCTTGCTGACAGTAATTTGTATATATAAATCAGTGATTTATCTAGATCATAATTTAATTAACATTGGAAATTGTATGTTTATTTTTGTTTCTACTGCAGAGTTTCATTTGGTGCCTTACACATTATATATTTAATTCATGTGTTGAATTTGAATTAAATGACATTTTGTAATTTTTAACAGCACATCTATCTCAAATTATTATTTTGATAATGTTCTTAAATGTTCTACAATGCTATTAAATTATGATTTTTAGGGGATTCTTGGCAACACACTGATACCAGACACAAGTTGTTTGAGGACCTATATGCCATGCCTCCTCATCTTTGCATTCTCCTATTAAATTCCTAGTAGATTTTCTTCCATGTGGTAGAAACCAAATAAACATTTTCTGAATCAAAACGTGAATATAAAGAAGTGACTCTTGTATCCTTTACAATTACCAGAGATACCAAAAAACTACACTTTGAATTGTTCATGTATGTAACTGCAAAGTGTTTGTTTTGTTTTGCAACTTAGCAATGTCCTTAGAAACTGAAAAGTGCATTGTATTTTCAGAATATGGAGTGTGTTCTCATGTTGCTGCACATATCACGTTTACATCTAGAAAGAACTCATTCACCCTCTTTAAAAATATATTTGTAGCCTCTGCAATGTTCCCAGCTCTGTGAGGAGTGCAGAAGTTTAGCTATAGAACCAAATAGAAAGATCTATTTGCTCTCCGAGATAACTCTTTGAAGGCTACTCAGCTACCTGACCACCTTCTTTTTCTCTGTAACCTGGAGGTTTACTTCAGAGAGGACATTGAAGAAACTGGAAGAGAACAAAGAAATCAGTTGTGTAGAGGACCTCTAAGACCTTACCCTAAGAGTAATTTGCCTTAACATATATGCCCAGACTCAACAAGTATGCATGTTGCCTGTAAAAAAATTTGAATTCAAGATGAAAAAAAAATTATCTTATTTTAAAATTTTAATCCATGTTGAATTTACTATTTAATATAACTCTTCTTAGAGCCAGTTCTAGACATAGTTTTAAAGTGGGCGAAATCCATCTTTGGTAGTTCCACCTCCTTCTCTGGATACTCTGTCTTTATACACATTTTTTTTTTTTTAAGTTCCAGGGTACATGTGCAGGATGTGCAGATTTGTTACATAGGTAACGTGTGCCACGGTGGTTTGCTGCACCTGTCAAACCATCACCTAAATATTAAGCCCAGCATGCATTAGCTATTTTTTGCTGTTGCTCTCCTTCCCCCGACCGCCCACTCCCTATAGGTCCCAGTGTGTGTTGTTCCCCTCATTATGTTCATGTGTTCCTATTGTTCAGCTCCCACTTGTAAGTGAGAACATGCACTGTTTGGTTTTCTGCCCCTGCATTAGTTTGCTGAGGATAATGGTTTCCAGCTCCATCCATGTCCCTGCAAAGGACATGATCTTATTCCTTTTTAAGGCTGCATAGTATTCCATGTTGTATATGTACCACATTTTCTTTATCCAGTCTATCATTGATGGGCATTTGGGTTGATTCCATGTGTTTGCTATTGTGAATAGTGTTGCAGTGAGCATATGCAAGCATGTATCTTTATAACAGAATGATTTATATTCCTTTGGGTGTAAACCCAGCAATGAAATTGCTGGGGCAAATGGTGTTTTTGGCTCTAGGTCTTTAAGAAATCACCACACTGTCTTCCACAGTGGTTGAACTAATTTACATTCCCACCAGCAGTGTAAGTGTTCTTATTTCTCCACAGCCTCGCCAGCATCTGTTGTTTCCTGACGTTTTAATAATTGCCATTCTGCAACAAAAGCCAAAATTGACAAATGGGATCTAATTAAACTAAAGAGCTTCTGCACAGCAAAAGAAACTACCATCAGAGTGAACAGGCAACCTACAAAATGGGAGAAAATTTTCGCAACCTACTCATCTGACAAAGGGCTAATATCTAGAATCTACAATGAACTCAAATTTACAAAAAACAAAACAAAACAAACAAAAAAACAACCCCATCAAAAAGTGGGCAAGGGATATGAACAGACACTTCTCAAAAGAAGACATTTATGCAGCCAAAAGACACATGAAAAAATGCTCATCATCACTGGCCATCAGAGAAATGCAAATCAAAACCACAATGAGATAACATCTCACACCAGTTAGAATGGCAATCATTAAAAAGTCAGGAAACAACGGGTGCTGGAGAGGATGTGGAGAAACAGGAACACTTTTACACTGTTGGTGGGACTGTAAACTAGTTCAACCCTTGTGGAAGTCAGTGTGGCAATTCCTCGGGGCTCTAGAACTAGAAATACCATTTGACCCAGCCATCCCATTACTGGGTATATACCCAAAGGACTATAAATCATGCTGCTATAAAGACACATGCACACGTATGTTTATTGTGGCACTATTCACAATAGCAAAGACTTGGAACCAAGCCAAATGTCCAACAATGATAGACTGGATTAAGAAAATGTGGCACATATACACATGGAATACTATGCAGCCATAAAAAATGATGAGTTCATGTCCTTTGTAGGGACATGGATGAAATTGGAAATCATCATTCTCAGTAAACTATCGCAAGGACAAAAAACCAAACACCGCATATTCTCACTCATAGATGGGAATTGAACAATGAGAACACATGGACACAGGCAGGGGAACATCACACTCTGGGCTCTGTTGTGGGGTGGGGGAGGGGGGAGGGACAGCATTAGGAGATATACCTAATGCTAAATGATGAGTTAATGGGTGCAGCACACCAGCATGGCACATGTATACATATGCAACTAACCTGCACATTGTGCACATGTACCCTAAAACTTAAAGTATAATAATAATTTAAAAATAATAAAAAATAATTGCCATTCTGACTGGCATGAGATGGTATCTCATTGTGGGGTTTTGATATGCATTTCTCTAATGATCAGTGATGTTGAGCTTTTCTCGTATGGTTCTTGGCCACATAAATGTCTTCTTTTGAGGAATGTTTGTTCACCTACTTTGCCCCATTTTTAATGGGGTAGTTTTTTTTTCTTGTAAATTTGTTTAAATTCTTTGTATATTCTGGATAGGTCTGTAATCTACCTTTGTAGATTCTGGATATTACACCATTACAGATGGACAGATTGCAAAAATTTTCTCACATTCTGTAGGTTGCCTGTACACTGTGATGATAGTTTCTTTTGCTGTGCAGAAGCTCTTTATTTTACTTAGATTCTATTTGTCAATTTTTGCTTTTGTTGCAATTGTTTTTGATGTTTTCATCATGAAATCTTTGCCCATGCCTATGTCCTAAATGGTATTGCCTAGATTTTCTTCTAGGGTTTTTATGGTTTGGGGTTTTACACTTAAGTCTTTAATCCATCTTGAGTTAATTTTTGTATAAAGTGTAAGGAAGGGGTCCAGTTTCAATTTTCTGCATATGGCCTAGCCAGTTCTCCCAGCACCATTTATTACATAGGGAATCTTTTTCCCATTGCTTGTTTTTGTCAGGTTTTTTGAAGATCAGATGGTTGTAGATGTGTGGTCTTATTTCTGAGTTATCTATTCTGTTCCATTGGTCTATGTGTCTGTTTTTGTACCAGCACCATGCCGTTTTGGTTACTGTATCCTCATAGTATAGTTTGAAGTTGAGTAGCATGATGCTTCCAGGTTTATTCTTTTTACTTAGGATTATTCTGGGTATACCAGCTCTTTTTTGGTTCCATATGAATTTTAAAGTAGTTTTTTTCTAATTCTCTGAAGAATGTAAACAGTAATTTAATGGGAATAGCATTGAATCTGCAAATTACTTTCATCAGTATGGCCATTTTCATATTGATTCTTCCTATCCATGAGCATAGAATGTTTTTCTATTTGTTTTTGTCCTCTCCAATTTCCTTGAGCAGTGGTTTGTAGTTCTCCTTGAAGAGGTCCTTCCCTTCCCTTATTAGCTGTATTCCTAGATATTTTATTCCCTTTTTAGCAATTGTGAATGGGAGTTCATTCATGATTTGGCTCTCTGCTTCTCTGCTGTTGGTGTATAGGAATGCCTGTGATTTTTGCACATTGATTTTGTATCCAGAGACTTTGCTTAAGTTACTTATCAGCTTAAGTAGCTTTTAGGCTGAGACGATGGGGTTTTCTAGATATAGGATCATGTCATTGCAAACACAGACAATTTGACCTCCTCTGTTTCTATACGAATACACTTTATTTCTTTCTCTTGCCTGATTGCCCTGGCCAGAACTTCCAATACTATGTTGAATAGGAGTGGTGAGAAAGGGCATCCTTTTCTTGTGGCCGTTTTCAAGGAGAATGCTTCCAGCTTTTGCCAATTCAGTATGATATTGACTGTGGGTTTGTCATAAATGGCTCTTATTATTTTGAGTTATGCTCCATCAATACCTACTTTATTATCCATATTTTCTACTCATCTGGAGCTTTCCTGTGGCTTTGATCCAGCAGGATCTAATTCTTCCTAAGGGTTCGTGTTCTTACGTGTCACTACAGGATTATTAGCATGATTTGAACAATTATTCGTGGTCAGAAGTGGTGGAAAAAGTATAACCTAAATAATGTGTGAGCACTGAGAATCTCTGGCCCTTGCATAGAGCAGATATTGAAGGAAATGAATCTTCCCAGTACCACTGAAATTACAACCAGAATATATTCATAATCAGTGAATATTACTTATTGAGTGAACACAGTTATTTATTAATAAATAATGGCCTATACTTTTCTATGTTGGTTAACTTTCTTTGAAAATAGTTTTGTGTGTTTTTTGAATTTTACAAGATTGCAGGCTCTTAGCTGCAGTAATGTTCTTGTGTTCTCAGACTCGGTACAATACAACTAAAAGCAAGGATGTGAACATATGAACAGATGTTAAAGACACATTAATATTTTATTTGAAATAACCAAATGTTTATTGTATTCTCAGAGGTGATTTTTTTAATGTTTTGCTTCATTATTATTCTGCTTTTATGAGTTCCAAAATAAAAATAGTTTGGTAATTGAGCTATAATAAAGTAGCTTCACCTTTATGATTAATGACAGTGCCCTTCCAATTATTTTTAGATTAAGGAAAGCCTACGATGAATCTGATTCTGATTTGACAGGGATGCATGCTGCCTTTTAAAATATTTTTAATAACTAATTTTGTGGTTAGATTATTTTAGTGTAGTACAAAAAGTAGAACTAAATTTTTTTTAAACTTAGTTCACTATTTTTCATTCTAGCTGTTAAAAATTTGTCTTCTTTACATAGCAACATTCTCTAGTCAAATCAAAATGTTTAATGAAAAACTATTTTTCTGTCTTGATGGCTTATAGTGGAGAAGATTATATTGTCTTCATTTTATGAATATGAATTATAAACAAAATCTATAATTTTTCATATTCTTTTTCTGGTTTTTAGTATTTAAATCCCATATAGTATCCTGCTCAATGACACATAAACCATAAAAACTCAACAAATATCACTTATCAGTGATGAGTCTGTTTTTCAAGGCAAATTTTCTTGTTTATAATAGTGAATTTTACTGTCTTCTCCACTCTGCCATGCTTCTACATTAATGCTTTTACTCATACTGCACCATTTGAGTTACACTATGCATCGGGCACTGTACAATACATGAACAATACAGTGATAAAGATGCCAAAAAAGGCCCTGCCTGCATGGAGCCTGACATCCTAGTGGGCAGCAAATGAGGGGCAAGTAACAATAGTATGATCATTTTAGAATATGCTAAAATGGAAATGAACAGGCTGATTTGATAGCAAATACTGTTTAACATTCAACCTTCACTTCTGCATATATTTATACATTTATTTGTTGAATAGCTATTATGTACACCAGAAATTACACATTCAAGTGCCTATATATGAAGTGTGGGAAGCAGCTACCTAATGGAAGTTGTACATGTGTTTTTCAAGTGGTCTTCATTTCATATTTTACTGCTAAATCAGATTCTCCCTTGGAATACATCTGACCCACTTCTGGTTACACAACATGCAAATGTCTTTTTTAAGAGGGTAGCAGATACATCCTTTTTCTTTTGAATGGCAGCCTGTTCCGTGGACATACATATACACAAAATGCATTCATCTACTCATTTACTCATACATTCAATGACCTTTTAAGTGATAACTTTATTTCAGAATGCATGTACAAAGGGGAGAGCCAGAATGGTAAGACTCAGATACTACTCTTTACTAACTTATAAGCCTCATGACATGAACCCTTTCCTTATTTTTCTGTATAGTCAGCCAGAAATAGGTTCCTCCTCTTTAGAACACCCAAAGGGTTTTCTGTCTTGTGTACATTTCTATGTCTTGTCCTTCTTATTTAGCTCCTTTTTATATATCTTGACATTCCTCATGGCAACAAAAACTGTGACTTACTCACAGAAGTTGCTCAATAAATGTTTACTATATGAATGAGGAAAAGATCAAACTAAGTCAGAGCTGTTGCCCATATTATCACAGTGCTTTTTGTAGGTTACAGAATCATATTTTGCATTTATTTACATTGCAAATTATCATGAGGATATAACAGACAGCACCTTCTCTGATTATTTGGTTTTCTTTGACATTTAATTTCCTGACTAGCTATCTTTAGTTAATTACTTCAGTGTTGAAAGAATGTTTAAAATACATTTTAAAGTTTTATGCAGACTTTCAGGAGAGTAATTTGAAATCCAGACATTGCTAATTCCCATTTTAGGGAAAGTTTGAGAATCATAGTATATACTTTAGGCTAAATCGGAAAGCAGAGGAATAATTGACCAATCCATCAAATTAAGAAAATAGATTAATTTCTAATTCAGATTTGCACTGGAAAAGTGGTTTAGTTTGCTCTTACTTCTTGGGTCAATTCATATTCCAGTGTAGTAAAAGATGAATCCCAAGGTTTAGAATACACGATTTTAAATTATTAATTAAGAATTTTTTTGTTGATACCTAGTAGACATACATATTTTCAGACTACATGTGACAGTTTAATATAATTTCACATGTACCCTGAAAATATGTACATCTAATAGGTATCAATAAAATACACTCATATAATCCAATCAAGGTAAATGGGATATTCATCTTAAATATTCATCTTTTCTTCATAATAGGAACATTCAAATTATTCTCTTCTAGCTATTTGGAAATGTACAATCAATTAATATTAACCATAGTCACCTTACTGATCTTACTTGTGGTCACCAATCTACTTCAATCTCAAAGACATGATATTTTTTAGCTCCCATATATGAGTGGAAACATGCAAAATTTATCTTTCTGTGCTTGACCTCTTTTACTTAATATAAAGACCTCCAGTTCCATCCATGTTGCTGGAAATGACAGGAGTTAATTCTTTTTTATTGATGAATAATATCCCTTGTGTGTACATATGTACCACTTTTTTTGTCTATTAATGAACACTTAGGGTGATTTCATATTTTGATTATTACAAATATTGCTTCAGTAAACATGGGAGTGCAGATGTATCTTCAATATATTGAGTATACACCCAGCAGTGGAATTTGCTGTATTACATGGTAGCTCTATTTTTAGTTGTTTTGGAAACCTCCATACTGTTTTCCATAGTGGCTATACTAATTTATATTTCCACCAGCAGTGTATGAGGTTCCCTTTCTCCACATCCTTGCCAGCATCCGTTATTTACTGTCTTTTTGATACAAGTCATTTTAGTTGGGATGTATCTTAATTTCGTGTCCTGCAACTTTACTAAATTTCTTCATCAATTCTAACAGTTTTTTGATAGTCTTCAGGCATTTCTAAATATGAGACCATGTTGTCTGCATACAAGGTGAACTTGACTTCTTTTTTGCCAATTTGGATCGCTTTTCTTTCTTTCTCTTGCCTAATTGCTCTGGCCAGGACTTCCACTATTATGTTAAATAAACATAATTCTATAAAAATGCTAAAAACAGGAATTCTTGTGCTGTTTCAGATCTTAGAGGAAAGGCTTTTAATTTTTCCCTGTTCAGTATGATGTTGACTATGGGTTTATCATATGTATCGCTTTTATTATTTTAAAGTATGTTCCTTCACACCCAGTTTGGTGAAGGTTTGTCATATGTTGAATTTTATCGGAAGCTTTTTCGGCATCTATTAAAATTGTCATATGGGTTTTTTTCTTGCTTCTGTTAATGTGATGTAATTTATTGTGATAATTGTTCTGTTAATATAATAAGTAATTTATTGATTTACTTATTTTGAGCCATCCTTGCATCCCTAGGATGAAATCCCACTTGATCATAGTGAAAACCTTTTTAATGAGGAGTTGAATTGAGTTTGCCAGGATTTGTTGATAATTTTTGCATCCCTGTTCATCACTGATATTGGCCTATAGTTTTCCTTTTTTGTTGTGTCTCTGTCTGGTTTTGGTATCAGAGCAACACTGGCCTGGTAGCATGAGCTTTAATATATTCCCTTTTCTTCAATTTTTTTTGAAGATTTTTAGTAGAATTGGTAATGGTTTTTCTTTAAATGTTTGATAAAATTCACCAGTGAAGCCATGAGGGTTTTTCTTAGATCAGAGACATTTTATTACAGTTTCAATCTCGTTACCTATAGGTTTGTTGACATTTTCTGTTTCTTCATGGTTCTATTTTGGCAGGCTGTACGCATCTACCAATTTATCCATTTCTTATAGGTTTTCTAATTTGTTGGCATAAAGTTGTCTGTAATAGTCTCGAAATATTCTTTGTATTTCTGTGGTCTCAGTTGTTATGTCTCCTTTTTTGTTTCTGATTTTATTTATTTAGGTCTTCTCTGTTTTCTTTTTAGTTAGTCTAGCTCAAAAGTCTGTCAATTCTGTTTCTCTCTTCAAAATACCAACTTTTCACTTAAGTGAACTTCTGTATTGTTTTGTTAGCTCAATTTTACTTATTTACAATCTGATATTTATTATTTCTTTTCTCCTATTAAGGTTGAGTTTAATTTGTTCTTGCTTTTCTATTTCTTGAGGTAAATCAGTAGATTGCTTATTTGAAGTTTTTCTACTTTTTTGACATAAGCATTTATTGCTATAAACTTTCCTCTTCATGCTGCTTTTGCTGTATTCCATAGACTTGGGTATGTTATATATCAGTTTTCATTTGTTTGGAGAAAATTTAAATGTTTCTTCTTAATTTCTTCTTTGACCCACTGGTCATTCAGGAGCATGTTGTCTAATTTCCATGTGTTTGTGCAGTTTCCAAGGTTCCCCTTGCAATTGATTTCTAGTTTTGTTCCATATTGGTCAGAAAAGATATTTGATACGATTTCTACTGTATTGGATTTGTTGAGACTTGTTTTGTTGTCTAAGAAATGGCCTATTCTGGAAAATGTTCCATTTGCTGTTGAAAATAATATGTATTCTGGGTTAAACATTCTGTATATGTCAGTTAGGGCTATTAGTCTAATGTCTAGTTTAACTTTTATTTTTTTGTTGTTGATTTTCTATCTGGATAATTTGTCTATTACTGAGAGTGGGGTGTTGAAGTTCGCTACTATGATTACATTACAGTCCATCACTGCCTTTGGATCTACTAATATTTGCTTTATATACATGGGAGCTCTGGTGTTCAGTGCATAGATATTTATAGTTGTTGTAGTGTCTCGCTAAATTGACCACTTTATCATTACACGGTGACATTTTTTGTCAGTTTTTACTGTCTTTGATTTGTAGTCTATTTTTATCTGATATAAGTATAGAAAGTATAGCTACTCCTGGTCTTTTTAAGTTTCTAGTGCATGGAATATCTTTTTCCACTCCTTTGCTTTCAGTTTATGTGGGTCATTATAGTTGAAGTCTTGGTTTCTTATAAGCAGCATGGAAGTATACAGTTCCAGTCATAGTTTGTGTATTTGTTATGAATTCTCACCATTCTTTACCGATTGGGATTGTTTCATTGCACCTGTGTTTACATTTTGGTTTATTTTGATTCAGGTATTAAAATTACATTTTAATGTCTCCTGGATCAAGCGTTTCTTGTGTTTCCACTTGATTCTAATGGTTTTTATTATTTTTTATATCTATTATTTATTTGGTCTTGCAATTATTACTTTTTTCTTGCAAATACCCTGAGCCCCTTGACATGAGGTCCTGCCTGCACGTAAGGCTTGCTTGCTCAGAGGAGAAACATACTTAACCTCTCCGGACTCCAAAATAATTTGAAATGTATTTTTAATCATAACTGGTAAAAATAGTTTCTTGAAGACATTTATTGTTATAGAAATACTAGTAACATAAAATGAGGCATGGAGTATGGGAGATTACATCTTCTTTGTTAAGGGTGGCGTTACTCTATTGTAAGCAGGTGGAAAACATAGCTGCTCCTTTCATAGCTCAAATAACCTCCTTCTTCTGTACCCTTTATGTTTTGGTTATCTCATTAATTCCTTCTCCTTCTTCTTTTCACTTAATCTTGGATCACAGTAGGTCCAAGAGGAGAGTAAAGTTGTTAATGAAGAAGAATATTCTATTCTTGTTTTTCTTCTTGCTTAAAATGTAGAATGTGAGCCAAAGTAAAGGAGGCTGAGCCAAGGGTAGCCTTTTATGTACATTTATTTATACTTTTTTTTTTCTATTTTTTTTTAAATTATACTTTATGTTTTAGGGTACATGTGCACATTGTGTAGGTTAGTTACATATGTATACATGTGCCATGCTGGTGCGCTGCACCCACTAACTCGTCATCTAGCATTAGGTATATCTCCCAATGCTATCCCTCCCCTTTCCCCCCACCCCACCACAGTCCCCAGAGTGTCATATTCCCCTTCCTGTGTCCATGTGATCTCATTGTTCAATTCCCACCTATGAGTGAGAATATGCGGTGTTTGGTTTTTTGTTCTTGCGATAGTTTACTGAGAATGATGATTTCCAATTTCATCCATGTCCCTACAAAGGACATGAACTCATCATTTTTTATGGCTGCATAGTATTCCATGGTGTATATGTGCCACATTTTCTTAATCCAGTCTATCATTGTTGGACATTTGGGTTGGTTCCAAGTCTTTGCTATTGTGAATAGTGCCACAATAAACATACGTGTGCATGTGTCTTTATAGCAGCATGATTTATAGTCCTTTGGGTATATACCCAGTAATGGGATGGCCGGGTCAAATGGTATTTATACTTCAAAATTTTAGAATTAAGTTATAAAAAAAATGTTCACTTTCAAACTGGGTGCTATAATAATTTACTAAGAGCAAAAACTACCAATTATTGAATGCTTATTGTGATGGTTAATATGGGGTGTCAGTTTGATTGGATTGAAGGATACAAAATATTAATCCTGAGTGTGTCTGTGAGGGTGTTGCCAAAGGAGATTAATATTTGAGTCGTCCAACCCACCCTTAATCTGGTGGGCACAATCTAATCAGCTGGCAGCAAATATAAAGCAGGCAGAAAAACGTGAAAAGGTGAGACTGGCCTAGCCTCCAAGCCTACATTGTTCTCCCATGATGCATGCTTCCTGTGCTCCAACATCAGACTCCAAGTCCTTCAGTTTTGGGACTCTGACTGGCTCTCCTTGCTCCTCAGCTTGCAGACAGCCTATTGTGGGACCTTGTGATAGTGTAAGTTAATACTTACTAAACTCCCATTTCTATTAGTTCTGTCCCTCTAGAGAACCTTGACTAATACAGATTTGGGTACCAGGGATGGTTCTAGAGGAATAGAATATTAAGGATGGAGTTCTTTCACTGGTTTTGGGGTTTCTGGAGTTGGCTGCTTAATATGATTAGACCCAAAAATGCTAAGGACTCTACTTCTAATAGCATAGAGAACACTGATAGCCCTTGACATGAACTGTTTAGAGAGTTATGCAAAATAAATGCATTTGACACCCTGATTCACTCACTGCTTGTGAGAGGCAAGGAGCTTAGTGACTCTATACATAATACCTTTGACCATATGTGGAGAACCAAGGAACATAATGAAGCTGGTTGATTGTTCCTAAGTTCCGTTGAAAAACTGATGAAAGAAAATGATGAACTAAGAGATTCTGTCCCATGGCTTCAGAAGCAGATACTGAGCCTCAAATCTGCTAAGATTGCCCTGAGCGAAACAGAAAGAGCTGAAATTGTGGAAAAACAGACACAAGCTCTTATCATGTGAGTGGCTGACCTGCCAAAAAAGGTGCCTGCACAGCCTCACCAGGTGTCTACTGTTAAAGTGAGGGCATTGATTGGAAAAGAACAGGACCCTGCAACTTGGAATGGGGATGTGTGGGAGGACCCTGATAAACCTGGGGACACTGAGTTTGTAAACTCTGATGAACCTTTGTTGCCAGAAGGGACAACTTCCCCATCCCCAGTAGTGGCAACATCCCTCCTGCCCCAACCCATGCTTCCATCAGCCTTTCCACCTTTGTCTGAGGAGATAAACCCTGTGCTGCCTGAGGCAACAGTGATGGCCTCCCCTGAGGCAGTTGCCAGGAAAGATAATGATTCTCCTCAGGAGCCACCCCAACACCCCTGTTTGTTTCTAGGCCTATAACTAGACTAAAGTCCCAGTGGGCCCCTAGAGGTGAGGTTGAGAGTGTAACCCATGAGGAGATGCTCTACACTCAAAAAGAACTTTTTGAGTTCTTTAATTTATATAAACAGCAATCTGGAGAACAGGCATGGGAATGCATATTAAGGGTATTGGATAATGATGGAAGAAACATAGAGTTGGATCAGGCTAAATTTCTTGATTTGGGCCCACTAAGTAGGGACTCTGCTTTTAATGTTGCAGCTCGATGAGTCAAAAAATGTTCTAATAGTTGATTTGCTTGGTTAGCTAAATATGTATTTAAAGATGGCCCACTGTGAGCAAGCTGGAAATGCCTGATCTCCCCTGGTTTAATGTACAGGAAGGGATCCAAAGGCTTAGGGAGATTGGGATGGTGGAGTAGATTTGTCACTTCAAACCTACTCATCCCAACTGGGAGGGTCCAGAAGACATACCCTTGACCAATGCCTTGCAAAACAGATTTGTGAGGGAAGCACCTGCATCTTTGAAGAGCCCTGTAATTGCTCTTCTCTGTATGTCAGATCTAACAGTGGGAACCACAGTGACTCAACTATAAAATGTAAATACAATGGGAATAATTGGATCCTGAGGTGGCAGGGGCCAAGTGGTGGCACTCAACCATCAAAGGCAAGGTGGGTGTAGCTCCCATAATGGACAGCAGAGACAAAGCAGCAATCAGAATGGCCTGACTCATGTAGACCTCTAGCATTGGCTAATTAATCACAGTGTTCCTAGAAGTGAAATTGATAGGAAGCCTACTGCATTCCTACTTAATTTATATAGTGAGAAAACTTCTAGGTAGAATGGACAAAAGACTATTTTGAATTATAAAAACAGAGAATCACAGCTCCTCAATCAATTTCCAGACTTTATCCAGTTTACAGACCCCAAACCCCTTGAATGAAGGGGAAGCCAGTTCCTCTTGAGGAAGGACCCCACTATATTACCGACATTTTATGCAATGAATCTTTCTCCCATCCTTCCCCAAGAAGACCTCTGGCCTTTTACAAGTGTAACTGAGCATTGGGGAAAGGGAAATAATCAGACATTTCTGAGACTACTGGACACTGGCTCTGAGCTGACATTAATTCCAGGGAACCCAAACATCATTGTGGTCCTCCAGTTAAAGTAGGGGCTTATGAATGTCAAGTAATTAATGGGATTTTAGCTCAGGTCTGACTTACAGAGGGTCCAATGTGTCCCCAGACTCATTCTGTGGTCATTTCCCCAGCGCCAGAATGCATAATTGTCATAGACATACTTAGCAGCTGGCAGAACCCACACATTGGCTTCCTGACTGGTAGGGTAAGGGCTATTATGGTGGGAAAGGCCAAATGGGAGCCATTAGAGCTGCCTCTACCTAGAAAAATAGTGAGTCAAAAATAATATTGTATCCCTGGATGGATTGCAGAGATTAGTGTCACCATCAAGGACTTGAAAGACGCAGGGGTGGTGATTCCCACCACATCCCCATTCAACTCTTCCATTTGGCCTGTGCAGAAGACAGATGGATCTTGGAGAATGACAATGGATTCTCCTAAGCATAACCAAGTAGTGACTCCAATTGTAGCTGCTGTACCAGATGTGGTTTCATTGCTTGACAAAATTAATACATCTCCTGGTACCTGGTATGCAGCCACTGACTTGGCAAATGCATTTTTCTCCATTCCTGTCCATAAGGACCCCAGAAGCAATTTGCCTTCAGCTGGCAAGGCCAGCAATTTACCTTTACTGTCCTATGTCAGGGGTAAATCAACTCTCCGGCTTTGTGTGATAATCTTATTCAGAGAGAACTTGATCACTTCTTGCTTCTGCAAGATATCACACTGGTCCATTACATTGAAGACATTATGCTGATTGGATCCAGTGAACAAGAGGTAGCAAACACACTAAACTTATTGGTGAGACAGTTGTGTGTCAGATGATGGGAAATAAATCCAACTAAAATTCAGGGACCTTCTACCTCAGTAAAATTTCTATGGGTCCAGTGGTGTGGGCTCCAGTGGAGTGGGGTCTGTTACGATATTCCTTCTAAGGTGAAGGATAAGTTGCTGCATTTGGCCCCTCCTACAACCAAGAAAGAGGCACAATGCCTAGTGGGCCTATTTGGATTTTTGAGGCGACACATTCCTCATTTGGGTGTGTTACTCTGACCCTTTTATTGAGTGACCCGAAAGGCTGCCAGTTTGAGTGGGGTCCAGAACAAAAGAACGCTCTGCAACAGCTCCAGGCTGCTGTGCAAGCTGCTCTGCCACTTGGACAATATGACCCAGCAGATTCAATGGAGTTTGAGGTGGCAGTGGCAGATAGGGATGCTGTTTGGAGCCTTTGGCAGGCTCCCATAAGTGAATCACAGCAGAGGCCTCTAGGATTTTGGAGCAGGACCCTGCCGTCTTCTGCAGATAACAACTCTCCTTTTGAGGGACAGCTCTTGGCCTGTTACTGGGCTTTGGTGGAAACTGAACGTCTGACTATGGGTCATCAAGTCACCAGATGACCTGAACTGCCTATCATGAACTGGATGCTTTCTGACCCATCTACCCATAAAGTGGGTTGTGCACAGCAGCATTCCATCATCAAATGTAAGTGGTATGTACATGATCTAGCTCTAGTAGGTCCTGAAGGCACAAGTAAGTTATATGAGGAAGTGGCTCAAATACCCATGGTCCCCACTCCTGCCACCCTGCCTTCCTCCTACCTCCCCCAGCATGCACCAATGGCCTTATGGGGAGTTCTCTATGATCAGTTGATAAAAGAAGAGAAGACTAGGGCCTGATTCATAGATGGTTCTGCACAACATGCAGACACCACCCAAAAGTGGACAGTTGCAGCACTTCAGCCCCTTTCTAGGACATCCCCGAAGGAAAGAGGTGAAGGGAAATCTTCCAGTGGGCAGAAATTTGAGGAGTGCACCTGGTTGTGCATTTTGCATGGAAGGAGAAATGGCTGGATGTGCAATTATATACTGATTCATGGGCTGTAGCCAAAGGTTTGGCTGGATGGTCAGGGACTTCGAAGAAGCACGATTAGAAAATTGGTGACAAAGAAATTTGGGGAATAGGTATGTGGATGGACTTCTTTGAGTGGTCAAAAACTGTGAAGATATTTGTATCCCATGTGAGTGCTCACCAATAGGTGACCTCAGCAGAGGAGGATTTTAATAATCAAGGGATAGGATGGCCCATTCTGTAGACACGACTCAGCCTCTTTCCCCAGCCATCCCTGTCATTGCCCAATGGGTCCATGAACAAAGTGGCCATGGTGGCAGGGATGGAGGTTATGCATGCGCTCCACAACATGGACTTCCACTCACCAAGGCTGACCTGGCTACAGCCACTACTGAGTGCCCAATTTCCCAGCAGCAGAGACCAACACTGAGCCCTCAATATGGTGATCAGCCAGCTACCTGGTGGCAGGTTGATTATATTGGACTTCTTGCATCATGTAAAGGGCAGTGGTTTGTCCTCACTGGAATAGACATTTACTCCAGATATGGGTTTGCCTATCCTGCACACAATGCTTCTGCCAAGACTACCATCTGTGGACTCATGGGATGCTTCATCCACCATCATGGTATTCCACACAGCATTGCCTCTGACCAAGGCACTCACTTTACAGCTAAAGCAGTGTGGCAGTGGGCTTCATGCTCGTGAAATTCACTGGTTTTACCCTGTTCCCTATCATCCTGAAACAGTTGGATTGATAGAATGGTGGAGTGGCCTTTTGAAATCACAATTACAACGCTAACTAGGTGACAATACTTTGCAGGGCTGGGGCAAAGTTCTCCAGAAGGTCATGTATGCTCTGAATCAGTGTCCAATATATGGTACTGTTTCTCCCATAGTCAGGATTCACGGGTCCAGGAAATCAAGGGGTGGGAGTGGAATAGGTACCATTCGCCATCACCCCTAGTGATCCACTAGCAAAATTTTTGCTCCCTGTTCCTGCGACATTACCTTCTGCTGGCCTAGAGATCTTACTTCTAGAGGGAGGAATGCTGCCACCAGGAGACTTAAAGATTCCATTAAACTGGAAGCTAAGATTGCCACCTGGACACTTTGGGTTCCTCCTACCTTTAAGTCAACAGGCTAAGAAGGGAGTTAGTGTTGGCTGGGGTGATTGACCCGGAATATCAAGGTGAAATCAGTCTACTACTCCATAACGGAGGTATGCATGGATACAGGAGCTCCATTAGGGTGTCTCTTAGTATTACCATGCCCTGTGATTAAGGTCAATGGGAAACTACAACAGCCCAATCCCGGCAGGACTACAAATGTTCCAGACCCTTCAGGAATGAAGGTTTGGGTCAGTCCACCAGGAAAAAAAACCACAACCTGCTGAGGTGCTTGCAGAGGGCAAAGGTAATACAGAATGTGTAGTAGAAGAAGGTAGTCATCAATACCAGCTACGACCATGTGACCAGCTGCAGAAACGAGGACTGTAACTGTCATGAGTATTTCCTCCCTCTTTTGTTAAGAACATGTTTGTGCATGTATAACACTTATGCTAAGAAAATATCTTCATTTTCTTTTCCTTTATCATATGCCATAAGATTTATTGACTTTCTATCAGCTTTTAAGTATTGTTGAAACTTTATGTAATAGTATTTGAGTGGGGATTAGTGCACTTCTGGTTGTATGAAGGAAGTTGTATTATGTTAGGTGTAATTATGACCTTATTATTGTCTTTATTTGAAAATTATATATCATCTCAGGAGATGTGTATGGGTTCAAGTTGACAAGGGGTGGACTTGTGATGGTTAATACCAAGTGTCAACTTGATTGGATTGAAGGATACAAAGTATTGATCCTGGGTGTGTCTGTGAGGGTGTTGCCTAAGGAGATTAACATTTGAGTCAGTGGGCTGGGAAAGACCGACCCACCCTTAATCTGGTGGGCACCATCTAATCACCTGCCACCGAATATAAAGCAGGCAGAAAAACATGAGAAGGAGAGACTGGCCTAGCCTCCCAGACTACATCTTTTTCCCATGCTGGCTGCTTCCTGCCCTCGAACGTTGGACTCCAAGTTCTTCAGTTTTGGGACTCTGACTGGCTGTCCTTGCTCTTCAGCTCGCAGACAGCCTATTGTGGGACCTTGTGATTGTGTAAGTTAATACTTAATAAACTCCCCTTTATATATATATATATATATATATATATATATATATATATATATATTTATATATATTTATATATATTTATATATATTTATATATATTTATATATATATATGTAGATTCTATAGATAGTAGATTCTATTTATTATTATACTATCTATGAGAAAACTAAAGCACAGAGAAGACAAATTCACTTGATAATTAGCTCCAGAACTAAATTTGAACCTATGCAGTCTTATGCTAGAGAAATGTGATCCAATAGAACTTTTATAGGAATTTTATTTTTATGGAAATTTTATTTTATAGGATAATTTTATTTTTGTAGGAATGTTCTACATCTTCACTATCCAATACAGTACCCACTAGTCACATATGGCTATTGAACATCTGAAATATGGCTAATATAACTAAGAAACTGAATTTTCATTTTATTTAGTTAAATCACTTCTCCCTTACTTTTAAACATGGACAATGGCAGTGCAAATAGGATGTTGGAAAGGATGCTGGAAATGTATACACCATTGAAAATATTTGTTTACTAAGAAAATTTAAAAAGAAACTAAAGAACAAAATCTTTCCTGTTTACTATTTTATTGAGCAATAGAGAAAATCTAACGCTAATTAGAGAAACTTGTTTACAACTTTCAGTGTGAAATAAAAGTTTTTTCCTCTTTCTTAATTTTTGTCTCATATTTTCTTTTGAAGAATAAGTAGAATTCAGTTTACTCTGATCTACATAGGCTGAAATCTAAGAGCTATTTTCCTCAAAATTTTGCTTCTATATTATTTTTTATTCTCTGAAAGTTCAAGAAATATTAAAGGCATTCAAGAATAATGTATTTCTAAGACACTTTAAAGGCATCTTTTATTATTCCAAGAAATAGTTTGTATTAGTCTTCTGTAGAGAAAGAGAACAGCAGGATGTATATAAACAGAAAGAAAGAAATTTATTTTAAGGAATTGGCTCATGCAGCCATGGAGACTAGCAAGCCCAAAATATACAGGATAGGCCTGCAGGCTGGAGACCCAGAGGAGAAAGACCCCAATGCAGCAGTGCAAGTCCTAAGGCAACCTGCCGGCAGAATTCCATCTTCAGGAGACATCAGTCTTTTTTCATTAAGGCCTTCCACTAATTCAGAGAGGCCCATCCATATTATGGAGGGTAATCTGTTTTACTCAAAGTCAACCGACTTAAATGATAATCTCATGTTTAAAAATACTTCCACAGAAACATCTAGAATACTATCTGGTTACCATATCCTAGCCAAGTTGACATATAAAATTAAACTTTACATAGGTCATTTAACATTTTTGTATGTAGTACAACAAATTGCACTGTTCCATGGAGTACACTGGAAAGAATCTGACTTATACTAAGAAAATTGCTTTCATATAACCAAGCAAAACTGGCATGTTTAACAAATCACCAGATAGAGCATTCTAAATTGTTACACTGTTTCATATTACTGTAAATCTTTTTGATGCTATCTAATTACTATCAAATAGTACTTTCTTGTTTTCTGTAATGTATAAGTAAAAGCATGAAGACAGCTGTAAATATTGTCATTTTCCAGGTAGTGAAAATATAACAGTGATTGGTCAGAGTTGAATCTACCATTACTTCCATCAACTGCAGAACATGTCTAATATATTTGGGGGAAATATATTGCATAGCAATAGAGCTGATGGGATGATATCATGTTACACATTTCATAATTAAACATGGAACAATAGTTAATCATGAAAGAATAATTAGAATATTTGTTAGTAATCCTGTTTACATATCAAATATGAAAATTAAGTGTTAAATTACATTTCTTTGTTGATTACAAACTCTTAGTAATTGAAACTTTTTAAAATTGAATAACAATATTTGATTTGGGCTGGTTTGTAATTTCACACCACGAATTTCAGCACAGTACTTTTCTAACATAATATCTTTGACTAAGGCATAAGATTTTACTTAATCAGAAGATGTCCCTTGGGAAGAGAATTAGAGACAGAGATATTTCCTTGATTTTTAAAATGTTCTTTCTTGTAGTAGACATTACTTCACCTTCCTCACAAACTATGATGTTGATACTGCTGTCTTTCACATTTGTATGGGGAAGTTGGATCACAAGGTAAAGAAACAACTGCCCTGTCCATGTTGTCCAAGCATGATGGCTGTTATTTGATTTCTTCTTAGAACTATTTGAGAATTCCTTACAAATAGACTAAACTATTTGCCCATTTATTTAGACTCACTGTCCACCTGAAGTTTTCACCAAGGTATTCCATTCTTGGTTGTTGTGCCCAGGTTGCCTGCATGTGACTATTGTGAAAGATGAAATTTTATGTCATATTTGGCCGAGAAACTGCTAGGCATAGTCTTTATTTCAGCAGTTTGCAAAAAAGAAAGCTGGCCTCAAAGTGCAGTAGCATTCTGACTAAGAAGAGAAGCTAGGCTATGTTACAAGTTGAATTAACACAAGGCTAGTGAGATTATTCCTAAAGTTAATATTCACTAAGCTGGTGGCTTCATTTACAGCCTGGGTGAACAAATTTCACCATAACAAGCCACTGAATCTAACTGGCTTTGTGAGATCTAGAGCCCAGAGCCTTGGTTAAAGGTTACATTCCTTATGCTTTTAAATAAATTTTGTAGTTTCAGGTGAATAACTTTGAGAGCCTTTGCCCCTTCTCAGTCAACGTTAAAACAGAAAAGCTATCATCCAAGATAATAAGAAAAAGAGCTTATATAAGCAAAAAGAATC